>NC_000010.11:7585757-7737272 GCF_000001405.40 Homo sapiens
GAGAAAGCTCTCGCCTGCAGTCTCCCTTCCTGCCATCAACCCCAGCTTTCAAATCCTTATCTCTTGGCAAAAAAAAAAAAAAACCAAAAAAAAAAACATTATTTCAAAGCCAAGCCAATGTGAAAAGAAGGTGTCATCTTTACCTCCAGTGGGTGACATATGGTGAATGTACACTTTCCCATCCCTGATGCTGTCTGGAGTGACTGATATCAAGTGGTCCTTCCATACTTTGATCCGGTTGGAAAATCCAATGATACTGAAACGGTCCTGGGGTCGGAGGTCATGGAGAATTGTGAAGAGGGCATCCTTGGTCTAGGCAAACACAAAAGCAAAACCAGTCACAGCTGCTCACATAAGTCCACTTGTCCCCTGTTCTAGAAACCGCCCCCGCCCCCCAGGAAAAATGTCAGGGTTCAAATTCAGTGTCAGCTATGTAAAGGGCACTTGGCTGAATGTCAAGGAATTGGTTACCCAGCTGGAAAAAATGGTATAAAGATGTTACGGTTGTAGACACGAGTGAATCAGTGCTGAATGCCGCATCCCGCCACGGTACTTCGGGCCTCCGCATCTCCACAATTGCTGTTCTCTTGACCCCAGATGTTCTTCCCCACCACCCTACCTCCATCTTTCACTTGACAAGCCCCTCATCATTCTTAAGAGCCAGGCAAGTGTGCAAATTCTCTGTTGGAAATTTTTCTGACTTCTCTGAAGAGAGCTGATCATTCCCTCCCTTAGGCTGGCAAAGCCCTCAATGCATTCCTATTATAAAGCACACATCACACGATGATGATTGTTTTATCTCCTTCCCTTACTCGGTTGTGAGTTCTTTGCAGGAGGGTCTCCTTCATCTTCCTAACAGCTAGTGACAAGAAGGAGGTGCTAGACAAAGGTGAGGCAGGTGAATCAATGAATGAATGAACGTTTAATGAATTATAAAATTAAATGCCCAAATAATAAATACCATAGGAATTGAAAAGATTATTACTATGGGCTGGAGTGACATGAGGCCTTACAGAGAAAGAGGAATTTGAGGATGAGATTTAAAGAATACATTGAAAGAACTGGAAGGGCATTCTTCTTATTTTTTTTTTCATACAAACTCTCGCTCTGTCACCCAGGCTGGAATGCAGTGGCGCGATCTCAGCTCACTGCAACCTCTGCCTCCCAGGTTCAAGCGATTCTCCTGCCTCAGCTTCCTGAGTAGCTGGGATTACAGGTGCACGCCACCACGTCTGGCTAATTTTTGTACTTTAGTAGAGACAGGGTTTCACCATGTTGCCCAGGGTGGTCTCGAACTCCTGAGCTCAGGCAATCCATCTGCCTCAGCCTCCCAAAGTGCTAGGATTACAGGCGTGAGCCACTGCACCCGGCTTGGAAGGGCATTCTGAAGAGAAGGAAGGCAGTTTGAGCAAAGCCAGGAAGTAATACAGGTGAGATCAGGGATGCTCAGTGATAACAGGTATACACTAAAATCAGCTGTGACGAATGGAAAGAAGAAAGAAGCCATATGACCTGAAACCAGAAATACTCTAGGGGCCTAGAAAAGGTTTCTATAGTAATCCATAGACACTGTGAGCAAACTCTGTCTTCCCAAGCAGCACTGTTGTTAGACACTTACAGGCTCAGCATAGGAGGTCAGGGACTTTCATTATATAATGACCATGAAAGGACATCCGGCACCTTTACGAAGTTGAAGAGCACAGGCTTCAGAGCCAGCTGTCACCCTTGAGGCTGGGTTCATCCCCGACTCTCCGTGGGGCCCTGGGGCCCTGAGCAGTAAGCTCCCTCACTTACTCGCTCTCTGATATCACTGCGCCCAAGTTACCCCATCCATAAAATCAGGACAGTAATAGTACCTGCCTCATCAGGTTGTCATGAGGATTAAATCAGAATCGAGATGAAAAGGGCTCTGAGCAGGGCCAGCCACACAATCAGAGTTCTAGATGGGTTTGCTGTTACTTGCTGGCTGGTGGAAAGCCCCGGCAGAGCTTAAGAGAAACGGTGAAGTCGGGAGTGGTGGTTTCCAGAAGGACATGTGCTAAGTGGCTCTGGGACACCCTTGAAACACGCTGTAGGTCTCTTCCCCGGTTCATGACTCTTTGCCTTTCCTCCTTCCCCAGGTTCAGACAGATGGCCCCGTCGGCCCCTCTGGCTAGGTGAAATAACCACTGCTTTCGTATCCTTTCCCTCTGGAATTTTCTCTCTTCCTCACTCCTCAGCCGCCTTTCAATCCTGAATCCAACTGCTCATCCCACATTCCACTGTCCAACTTGAATTTGTAGGAACCTCAAATTCTACTTCAGAAAACTATTCTCAATGCATCTATTTTTAAATCTGCACATTAGGCCAGGTGCGGTGGCTCATGCCTCTAATCCCAACACTTTGGGAGGCTGAGGCAGGCGGATCACTTAAGGTCAGAAGTTAGAGACCAGCCTGGCCAACATGGCAAAACCTCATCTCCACTAATAATACAAAAATTAGCCAGGCATGGTGGTGCACACGTGTAATCTCAGCACTTTGGGAGGCCGAGGTGGGTAGATCACTTGAGGTGAGGAGTTTGAAACCAGCCTGGCCAACATGGTGAAACCTTGTCTCTACTAATAATACAAAAAATTAGCTGGGCGTGGTGGCCCACCTGTAATCCCAGCTACTCAGGAGGCTGAGGCGGGAGAATCACTTGAACCTGGGAGGCGGAGATTGCAGTGAGCCCAGATCGTGCCACTGCACTCTGCCTGGGTGACAGAGTGAAAATGTGTCTCAAAAAATAAATAAAACACATCTGCACATTATATTCTTTTCTGTAGGGCTAGTAAACTAAGAGTTTCTTGGCTGAGCAAACGTTCGCCTAACTTTCTCCCCGTGAGTTTTTGCTAAAGTAATGTTCCTCCACTTTCCCAGCACTTCTTCATTCCCAGGCTGAGAAAGCAATGGAGTTGATGGTATCATTAGAAGGATGATGATGACGACGCTGACGATATTAACAGCTTGCATTTCCCGGGAGCTTCCTACTCCCTAGGCATATGCGGAGTGTACAGGCTCTTCCTCTGTTGAGGTGATTAATTCTAAATCTTACGAGCCACCTGAGGGAAAGTAACTATTAGTATTCCCATTTTACAGATGGGGCAACTGAGGCATGGAGTGGCTAAGCATCATGCTCCATGGGAGACTGGATTAAAATGCAGGGAGTCTGACTTCAGGGACAGCACGTGCACCAACGGCAGCAGAATCTGCAGCCCCAGGACGGCTGGAGCCGAGATGGCTCAGAGCTGTCACCCTTTTAACGTGCAGCAAATCTGGGGATCTCTTCCAAGTCCCTGTATGTTGATGGGCTCTGTTTACTTCTTTGTTTCTTTTGCTTCATTTCTGGCATCAACTAATGTATCCATCTCCTGTAACATCCTTGCAGAAGGCACTCAGGTGCCGGGCGCAGTGGCTCACACCTGTAATCCCAGCACTTTGGGAGGCTGAGGCGGGCAAATCATTTGAGGTCAGGAGTTCAAGACCAGCCTGGCCCATGTGGTAAAACCATGTCTCTACTAAAAAAATACAAAAATTAGCTGGGCATGGTGGCACGCGCCTGTAATCCAGCTACTTGGGAGGCTGAGGCAGGACAGTCACTTGAACCCGGGCAGTGGAAGTTGCAGTGAGCTGGGATCATGCCACTGCACTCCAGCCTGGGCGACAGAGCGAGACTCTATCTCAAAAAAAAATGAAGGCACTGCAGGATTTTTGCACCTGCCCAGGGACAAGAACAATGAACATATTTCATTAAACCCACCTTCTCATCCTACTGAAGAATGCAACAAGTTCTTCGGGGAGAAAAGAACAGCAATGGAGTGCTCCTTTCCATTCCCAGGGCTCGGAGACCTCCACTATTCTCTGTTCTCTCCTCTGCTATTCCCTCCTCCTATCCCCCGACACTCTGCTTGTTCAGAGGGGCTGACTGCAGCGGTTTCCCGTCCTCTCCCATGCCTGGCTCCCACCCCCAGGAAATACGTCAAAGTATCCCATGCAAATAAACAGAATCCACACCCAAGGTGTGCCAGCACTCTGCAGAAGACATTGTCAAGTCTATGCTGTTCCCTCCTTGAAACTCCTCCTGCTCTAGCTTCCCCGGCTCCTCCCTGGAGGGGATTGGTGCTCCCCTGGGCTTTGCTGTTGTCCCCCACCCCCCGCCCGCTGGCCCTTCAGGGTGAGTCACAGGGTCCTTTTCTCAGCTGAGGTTCTCACCTCCAGGTGACATCATCCATCCCCATGGTGCCAACTACCATCGTCATCTGTGAACTTCCAGACTTATCTCTGGAGCTGGCCTCTCGTTCCATCCAGACCGACCTGCCAACCTTTTCTCCCTGCGTGTCCCACAGGTAGCTCAGACTCGACTCGGTGGAGAATGGAACCTTCATCTTTTTAAATCTCCCTCTCCTCGCTGCTCTCTGTCCCGGGACAGAGGACACTGCAACCTTCACCCGTGGTCCAAGGCGGAAGCCTGGATGTCAGGCCCTCACATCCTTCAACACCACCCTGGAATTCCAACTCCTCTCCCTAAATATCCCTGTGACCATAAACTGATATTCCTTTACTTCCTTTGTATTTTTTCTTAATACAAAAATATTACTCATTTTTTGAAAGATCAGAAGAAAAACATATACAACTCACATCATCACGCCTACCTAGAGACAACCACTACTAAAATGCTGGTGTGCCACACACCACTTCAGAAACATCCCCGGCTGTGTGCGTGTGCACGTGTGATTTTAAAGGAAGTGGGATCATATAATACATACATCGTGCTGTAAAGTTTCTCTTTACTGTAACGTATCATATACGGTTTTCATGTCAATGGAGAAATGTTTGCCACGTCATTTCAATAGCAACCCAGCATCCTCCTGCACGCATCCACCATGTCTTAATATTTTGCAATATCTGAGCAGCGCTGCTGGGAAGCTCATTATCCCCACGTCTTTGTGCCCAAGACTCTTCCCTTAGGATAAATTCCCATACGTGGAAGCGGAGCGACAAAGGGCTTGCACTTTAGGAAGGAGCCAGCATGGCTCTGCATTACTGCCACGTGGATTTTCAACCCTCCTCTCTTCAAAGCCTTCCATGGCCCCTCGCTGCCCTCAGCATAAAGTCTAATGTCTCTTATTTTATTTTATTTGAGACAGAGTCTTGCTCTGTCACCAGGCTGGAGTGCAGCGGCGCGGTATCCACTCACTGCAACCTCCGCCTCCCGGGTTCAAGCGATTCCCCTGCCTCAGCCTCCCGCGTAGCTGGGCTTACAGGCACACGCCATCACGCTCAGCTAATTTTTTCTATTTTAGTAGAGACGGGGTTTCACCATGTTGGCCAGGATGGTCTCAATCTCCTGACCTCATAATCTGCCTGCCTCAGCCTCCCAAAGTGCTGGGATTACAGGCGTGAGCCACTGTGCCTGGCCTAATGTCTCTTTTTGGATACAAAATCCTCATTAAAATAAATGGTCCTGGTTCAAATCCCTGTCTTTTATTTCCTGCTAGTCTACCCCAGCTATCAACAACAAGGTCTGATTTGCCCACACCCAGCTTCCCTAAACCCACCCTGCTTTCTCGTGACTTCCTGTGGTGGCACCAGGGGCTGCCCTCCTTCCCCGCCTTCCTGACACGTTGAGCTGTAGCCACCCTTCAAAACTCACTTGATATGTCCCCTCCTTGGTGAGGCCATTCCTAACTCAACAGTGAAGACAGATGACAGCTCCATCCCCGATGCTGCACTGGCTGACACGTACCCCAGCTACACAATGTCCACGCTGTGCCGCCATGACTTCTGCAAGCTCTTTCCCTCCCCAAGACCCTTGCACCTGCTGTTTTTTCCTTGGAGCTCCCTTCCTCTTCCTCTCAGTCTTTGCTGCTGCAGGTCTCTTCTTGTCCTGCAATCCTGGGTTTACACATGAACTTCCAAGAGAGCCCTTCCCTGCCTCCCAGCCCTGCCCACCATTCCCCAAAGCATGGGCCCCTGCTCTCTCCTTTCACGTTGATATACAGAACATCCTTCTCTCTCTGTGCATTGACTGGTCTGTCCATCTCCAGTCTATGCTTCTGTGTGCAGGAGCTTTTTCTGTTTTATTTATTTATGTATTTTATTTATTTATTTTTTGAGATGGAGTCTTGCTTTATCGCCAGGCTGGAGTGCAGTGGTGCTATCTTGGCTCACTGCAACCTCCGCCTCCTGGGTTCAAGCAATTCTCCCGCCTCAGCCTCCTGAGTAGCTGGGGCTACAGGTGCACGTCACCATGCCCAGCTGATTTTAGTATTTTTAGTAGAGACAGGGTCTCACTATGTTGGCCAGGATGGTATCGATCTCTCGACCTGGTGATCTGCCCACCTTAGCCTCCCAAAGTGTTGGGATTACAGGCGTGAGCCACCATGCCCAGACACTTTTTCTGGTTTATTATTGTATATTTATTATTCTATATTTAATACCCAGCAGTGCCTGGCACATAGGAGATGCTTGACAAATGTGTTCTGAATAAGTGAGCAGTGAATAAATGATCCACCTGTCACACTGGACAGGGAGTTCCTCAAAACAGCCATCCCCTTGCCCTGCCCCACCCTCCCAACATCATGGCATTTTGTACATTGTAGGCTTTTAGTAAATATCTGCTGTATTATTAAACAAATAAGACAGCGACAGAGAAGAACAGAGATAGAGGAGACAGAGACAGACAGACAGAATACTCAGAGAGGGACAGAGAGAAAGAGAGAAACAGAAAGAGTAGGGGAAAGAGGAAAATAGAGGGGAGGAGAAAGAGACAGAGAGGTTCTGTTGGTGAATTCAAGGGACATGAGACACAGCCCAGCCCTTGAGAACCTAAGACAGACACTACTGAGAAAGAGGATGTGCAGGAAGCTCCAAGCTGCCTGATAGACAAGCTGCAGTGATGATCAATAACTCGGAGAACTGCACTCCACAGGCAGGGGCGGCCTCAGCCAGGGTGCTGGGCCCTTCTCACCCTGGTTCATCCTGGGCTCAGCACAGCCTGTGTGAGCATCAGACAGACCCTGCGCACTCACAGTCCAGGTGTCCCCACCCAGGAAGGACTGAAGGTGCCGGCTGGGATGGGAGGGACAGCAGCATGCAGTGGCGGTGGTGGGGCAGTGCTGGGGTGCTGGGCCCAGTTCTCAGGCCCTCCTGAGAGTCTCCATGCTGCACACTGCTGGGCCCAGAGTGGTCAGGCTGCATGGGGGCCTGCCAGGAAGGCCACCCATGGCAGAGCTGCTGCTTTAGCTGCTGGCATCCTTGGGGATCCTTCACAGTGTGCCAAGAACCTCCAGAGGGACCCGCCTAGCTCTTAAGCTGGCATTTTTTTTTCCCCACAGGACGGATATTCTGCTTTAGGAAGAGCTATTCAATCTCTCTACCCTCCTTCCCTCAGCTCAGCAGCTACAGGCTCCTTATGACCTTGTAAGGCCTCAGCTGCAACTTGTCCTTGCGTGCACCAGGGAAGGCAGCCCAGGCACCTCCCGGTGGCTCCATTCCCACTCAGAGGAGAACCATGTGGATGGACTCCTGCCCTCATTCCAGAGGGGGCAGGCACTGACTCCTACAGACTGCAGCCACCCAGCCCCACTCACCCCTGCAGACTGCAGCCACCCAGCCCCACTCACCCCTGCAGCCTGCAGCCACCCAGCCCCACTCACCCCTGCAGACTGCAGCCACCCAGCCCCACTCACCCCTGCAGCCTGCAGCCACCCAGCCCCACTCACCCCTGTAGACTGCAGCCACCCAGCCCCACTCACCCCTGCAGCCTGCAGCCACCCAGCCCCACTCACCCCTGCAGCCTGCAGCCACCCAGCCCCACTCACCCCTGCAGCCTGCAGCCACCCAGCCCCACTCACCCCTGCAGCCTGCAGCCACCCAGCCCCACTCACCCCTGCAGCCTGCAGCCACCCAGCCCCACTCATCCCTGCAGCCTGCAGCCACCCAGCCCCACTCACCCCTGCAGACTGCAGCCACCCAGCCCCACTCATCCCTACAGACTGCAGCCACCTCCTCCACTAACTCCTGCAGACTGCAGCCACCCAACCTCATTCACCCCTGCAGACTGCAGCCACCTGGCCCCACCAATCCTTGCAGACTGCAGCCACTGGCTCTGTTAACCCTTGACTTGCCTTCCCACCTCCAATGGGCTGAGCAGCCAAGAGCTCTGCCTCCTGTGGGAGGCTTAAGAGGAAAGAGGAGGAGCGTCCACACAGAAGGGTTCATGTGAGGGGCTGGAGCTGATCTTTCTGCACATCGTGTTCAGATGCTGAAGACGAACTGAAATGCAGTCAGACTCTGCCAGGAGCACAGTCCAGAGAACAGGGTAAGCACATTCCAGACAGATCAGAGGATGCCCAGAGAGGCAGAAGTTGTGTCCTCTGAGCCTGTCCAGAGGAAAAGGGAACATCACTTCAGGGACTGGACAAGATCCCCGTTCAGAGTCCCTCCCAATCCTGAGGCTGCATGATCATGGCTAGGAAGAGCTGTAGACTCTTCCAGTGCAGGTGATGGACACAGCTGGTCACCACTTACCCTCAATGCTCTTTCCAACTAACTAGGCCTGAAGGAAGAGACACTGGGCACCCCAGGAAGCCACGCTCGTGTCCTCTAAGCTCCCTCTAGGGGCCTTCCATGCTAGAAAGAGGCCAGCCTGCTTGAGACAGGTACCCCCAAAACATACATGTTGGAGTCATGAAGTTAATTCCTTAAAAGATGACCACAGGGGGCTGTGGAAATGTCTTCCCTGGAGATCTTCTAAAACAGGCATATAAAATGTATGATCATATGTATCGCAGTTTTCATGGAGATGAATACAATCAGGGTACAGGCCTGATTCGCGAGGGGATTAAGTGTCTGATTTTAGAAGGCCACTCTTGCTCTTTGGGGCCATAAGAAGAGTTTTCAACTCATTGTCTTTATACTCTTGGACAAGGACAAGGGCTTATTTGGGGTGGAAACCAAGGGGATGGGGTTAGGGTCACTGCCTGACAACTCCTGGCTGGGAAGCCAGTGGGGAGGAATTAGCAAGTCTTGGGGAGAGTGGCGGATCAGGAAGAGGCAGGAACACCAAGCCCCTGTGCCTAGGGGATAAACATAAGGGGCACCTGTGGGCCTCACTGAGGAGGAAAACAGGGTTCTTACAGAGGTCAACCCACAAGAGGCCCTTCGGGTTTCCCCTGGGGGGTCCGTGCCAGTTCCTAAAAGCACAATCCATAGTGAATGGGCGTCATCTCTGCTAACACAAGAGGACAAGCTGCAGACATGGGTCCACATGTCATCAGAAGAGATCTTTTAAAAATTCCAGGCTAGGAGCAATGGCTGTGGTCCCAGCTATTCAGGAGGCTGAGGCAGGAGGATCACTGGAGCCCAGGAGTTTGAGGCTGCAGTGAGCTAGGATCATGCCACTACACTTCAGCCTGGGCAACGGAGCGAGACCCTAGCTCTAAAATGTAAATAAAAAAATAATAAAATTAAAATTGAAAAAATAAAAAATACCAGATTATGTTTGGACTGAAGGGAGATTTTGAAAATCGCGCCCAGATAGATACACTTAGTAAACGGAAAGAATATATTTCTTACTATTCGGGTAGCGAAGACATACCTTGGCCTGGATGCAGGCATTACACAAGATTCCTTCTAACCCTAGTTATCTAGAGTCACAAAGGATAGAGATTACTCTGTTTAATACTATTTTATGGTGATGAATTCCTCTTCTTACTAGAGTCACAAAGGATAGAGATTACTCTGTTTAATACTATTTTATGGTGATGAATTCCTCTTCTTATACGTACTTCACTTGGGTTAAAAGAACAAAAGCCTATTTGCTTTAAAAACACTATCTTAGAAGTCCATTCCAGCTCCATCTTAGATTTACTATTAAGTAAGTCCTTTAATTTCTTTCTATTTAAATTCTTCCAGGCACAAGGCAGGACATAAATATAAGTAAACTCTGGCCGGGTGTGGTGGCTCACGCCTGTAATCACAGCACTTTAGGAAGCCGAGGCGGGCGGATCATGAGGTCAGGAGATTGAGGCTATCCGGGCTAACATGGTGAAACCCCATCTCTACTAATAATACAAAAAATTAGCCAGGCATTGTGGCACGTGCCTGTAGTCCCAGCTACTCGGGAGGCTGAAGCAGGAGAATCGCTTGAACCCATGAGGCACAGGTTGCAGTGAGCCGAGATCACGCCACTGCATTCCAGCCTGGGCAACAGAGCGAGACTCCGTCTAAATTAATAAATAAATAAATAAACAAATAAATGTAAACTCTATTTCAGATTCTCCATCCCTTCAGTACAGCTGGCAATGGTCTTGCTTGTTCTAGCGGATCTTTGGGGAGGAATATTACAGAGTCTCTTTAATGGTGTCTGTCCTGCACACCACAGGCCCTGCATGAAGCTGCACTGGAAACAAGAGATAGGGTCTTCCTTTCTCTTCCGCTCCCTCTTTCCTATAAAGCTGAGCCCAAGGAGCTTCAGGCTTTTGGCACAGCCCTCAAAGGGGAAGCATTCCATTGCGTTAACTACCATGCCATGAATGACCAGTAAACATTTCCCAAGTAGAATCGCGTCTAATAAGACCCTCAGAGGGGAAGTCAAGGGAGCCCACGGAAGAGCCAGCTGCGGCCCACGGCTTCCTCCCACTTCCATCGGGTACCCACAATGCAGCTTTTCTCAAACCATATTTGATGGGAACTAACCCTGACACAAAAGGCTCTTGTGCCACAAACCCTAGGTTTTTGAGCATAAGACAAGGAGAACCCATGACATCACAGATGAATCCAAGTTCAAGGGAACTCAGCATTAGCCATTCCACGCCTCCTGCACAATGATCACGCTGTTCTCCTGAGTGGCACCATCACTTGCCTCAGTCTAAAATGTTCACCAGGGAGTTGACATTTTCCTTCCCATTGATCCACACAGTTCTTTTGAATGAGCCTAAGGGAAAGACCTAAGATGAACAATTTAAAATAATCCAGTAAAGGCCGGGTGCAGTGGCTCATGCCTGTAATCTTTGGGATTACACTTTGGGAGGTCGAGGAAGGACGATCACCTGAGGTCAGGAGTTTGAGACCAGCCTGGCCAACGTGGCAAAACCCCGTCTCTACTAAAAATACAAAATTAGCCAGGCATGACGGTGCATGCCTGTAATCCCAGCTACTCGGGAGGTGAGGCGGGAGAATTGCATGAAACCAGGAGGTGGAGGTTGCAGTGAGCAGAGACCATGCCACTGCACTCCAGCCTGGGTGCAGAGTGAGTCTCCAACTCAAAAAAAAAAAAAAAAAAAATTCCACCAAAGAAATCAAAGACCTTCTAAAAGCCTGATTTGAGCCATGGAAGAGAATCATGATCAGCAAATGAAAACAGCCCTAAGTTTCTGAAAGGTAATTTTGGAAAATGAAATATGCCCAAGACAAGCTGTAGTGACAAGTCAGCCTTTGTCCTTTCTAAGGTGGGCAGAGGCCATGGACACCAGTGGGGAGGGGGCAGGTGTCTGTACTGTCCTTGGGCCTTCCTGACCCAGCAGGCAGGAGGTCCTCAGTGCCCCTTGGTGGGTGGTAGTATGGCCCCGTCATCACGCCATCTGAAGGAACCAACCAAAATTAAAAACTATCTGTGACTTCAAAGTTCACAACAACAGATTCTTACTGCAACCTGAAACTTCTTGCCTAAGCCCACAGTGAGGAGAATGGAAATGTCTGCCTTCCCAGCCTCAGATCTGTTGTCCCCTCTGTACCCCATAGACACCCATACACAGCATGGTCCCAAGTCACCTTGGAGTCACCCCCTCTGTACCCCAGAGACACCCGTACACAGCATGGTCCCAAGTCACCTTGGAGTCACCCCCTCTGTACCCCAGAGACACCCGTACACAGCATGGTCCCAAGTCACCTTGGAGTCACGGTCATGGCTGAGACCAGAGTAGCCATGACTTGCCAAGGGATGTCCCCAGGCTCTGGGTGTCCACTAAGCCTCAGTGGGGGTATTCCAAGTCCATAGTATTACAAGATTACAAAAACTTATTCTATAAAAGGTAATATAAACTTATGTTACATTCTGCAGGTCATTCAGTAATTTGAAGGAAGCTTTTCTGAAATCTTACTGTGACTGACCCACCAAATAATCAGATTTTTTTTTTTTAATCCCCAGTCTTAGGAGTAAGGCAATAAATTGAGTAAGAAGAACCAGTTCGCCATAATGTATTTGGGTCCATATCATTGTTGTACTTCTAAAAAATCTAGCAACAGATTGGCTCCCAAGAAGAAATCAAAACATTACAAAAGAATGCTACTCCATTGACTATAGTGTAAGAGTGTAAGTAACACTTCAGGGGGTTATGAAAATGCCTAAAGGAAATCAATGATCGTGCAATGCCAAGTTCCTTTTGTTGCCCCTCTGCTACAAATACCTCCTGAAATGAACCACATTATATAATTCATATTAAAAATAAAAATGTTTAATTGTAACATACAGAAGATAACCAAAAAAGGTGTCTCTGTCAACAAGGGAAATCTTGTTGCAAGAAACTAGAACGATTTTTCTACTGGCCAAAATATTTTTTGGAGAAATGGCAGAAACTAATTAGCTTTCTTCATAAAATGGAAAATTTGGGATAGAAGTCATATGTCTTCAAATATTTTAAAACAGTTTAATGAAATTTCACTTAGAAGTAAATGTAGAAAACATTTTTCTTTGTTCTCAACATTTTTTCATTCACATTGCCAAGAAAAGCGTATTTCTTCAATGAAGCAAAATCACAGGGCTCCTATATTTTAAAATATATTATTTTAATCTACTACACTTTCATTTACTGCTTAAAGTCTCCTTTCAAATGCTCTTTGAATGCAGTATTGTGCTATATAATATCGCAACTCTGATTCAAAATACTTATTTGCATATATGTTTACCCCATCTATGTAAAAATATAAACAAATTATTTCTTCATAGCAAGACAAAAAACACTTTTATTGTAAAGTTTCTAAATACCAATACCACTTCAAGACTGGTCCTAAAATAGAAAGATTGCTAAAGATTAAATTCTGGCTAAAGTCAGCCTTAACTTTTTTTAAAAAGGCTGAATAGGTTTAGATATTAAAACATTTTTTGCAATATAAACAAAACTAATTCCATTAATCTTTGTGTTTGCATAACATTACTCTAACTTGAGAAGCGAACTGTCTCATCTTAACCCTCTGCTTATGTTAAGATTAGTTATCTAATGTTTTGACTTTGCTTTGACAAGTGTATCAAACATTTACCTAATCATGTCATTGTACGTTTTTCTGAAAAGCTCTTTGCCAATAATATTTCTGCTATTCTTTACGACATAGTAGGCAAATCCATTTTTTATAGTTGATGTGTAAATAACTCAGGGCTAGAAATAGATTTTTTTTCCCACTTCTCTTCATGTGGAAGGTCAGTACTTCAGAGGATTTACATTCATTGTCAATTCCATACTTCTCATTCTAGCCAAGAACACAGCCTTAGTACATAGGCTTGACAGCCTTAACAAGAACCCAACCTACCTCTAACTCTTGGCTCCAGGTGAACCCCAGGCATGGCTGCTTGCTCTAATAGGAAGTAAGAGGATGATGCTGACCAAGAGAGGTTCAGCTCTGTGTGTAACTGGTGTCTCCCATCCGCTGTTCTGACACGCTAACTGATAAAATGATTGAGTTCTTGGTTTCTCACTCCTGGTCTAAATCTGAAGTTTATATTGTCCTACTGCAGGTCTGGATTCTAGATCCCCGCATGTTTCATTGTACAGGTGTTTTGGTGTCGGACTCTCCATCTGCCTTTGACCTGATCGCCTTTCCCTCTCCCTTAAGTTCTCACGATTCCTCTCTCCCTGGCTTTGGTCCATCCTACACCTCTCATTATAAATTCCCAGAGATGTGTCTTCACAAACATCGAGAACATGAAACACAAAGATATGGACAGGCTGGGAAAAAGCCATGCTCCACGTAAAATCATGGAACAATTATTTAAGAAGTAAACACAGCATATCCACAAATGTAGATTGTATATACAAGAAAATATGTAGAGGAAGTGGAGGCCCCTCCACCAGGCAGGGAGAGTGACACTGTTCCTGGGTCTCTTTCCATCTTCCCAGACTCTTAGTTAAGGTCGCCAATGAGACTGGAGACGGAGATTTCTGTTGCAAGAGGGAAGAAATTATAAAAACGGGTGAACTTAACTGTTGGGGATTGAGAGGTGCTCTGGTTACTTTTTCTTATCTTCCTTATTTGTGCTAGATTGGATGTGGATAGCTACAGAGTCCAGAGCAGAGAAGGCAGTAGAGGCTTCTTAGATCTATGGGGAAGGAGGGTTAAGTAGAAACCTCACATCTCTTCCTACTCTGTCTGCCTCAATTACCTGGGGAAGAAAAGCAAAATGGCCTCAGAACTAAGTTCTAGCCAGTCATAAAGGGGGTAGGTTGGCTGAAGTTTCAGATGTGCTCCATATCTCAGAAATCTGAGCCAGTGGACAGGATGTTAGGGGGAGAATAATTCCAATGCTATGCCTTAATCTGACCTCTGAAACCCCATTTTCCCACCTGGTCCCCTGAAACATGCTTCTGTCTTCTTCTAGGTATTTTCCTTCAGTCTAGCACATTCTCAAAGTGACCACAACTGTCTCCTGAACATCTCTGAGCACTAGGTCCCTTCAGCCCACTGCTGCCATCAACCCAGCCCTGCCCAGCCCACCAGAAATGAGCCCGGTCTCTCCTCCTGGATATTTGTCTTGTTACCTTGGCCTTTGCCTTCCCTTTCCAGTTACACGTGCACCTAGAAGAGATGATTGGGAAATCACTAATTATCTGACTTTACATTTGGTTAATCAGAACATCCTTCTTCAAGCTAAGAATTTGGCAAAGCCTAGGGGTACACAAGGGACAGTTTGGGTCCCCCTAAATTCAAAGGTTGAAATCCTAACACCCAAGGTGATGGTCCCAGGAGATGGGGACTTTAGGAGGTAATTAGGTCATGAAATTAGAGCCCTCATGGTTGGGATCAGTGCCCTTATGAAAGACCCCAGTGAGCTAGCTAGCTACTCCCTTCCACCATGGGAGGACATGCGGAGAACTTGCATCTATGACCCAGAAGGTGGGCCCTCCCCAGACACAGAGTCTGTTGGCATCTTGATGTTGGACTTTCCAACCTCTAGAACTGTGAGAAATAGATTTCGTTGTTTATAAGCTACTCAGTCTATGGCACATATATGAGTCCATAGTGGCCTGAATGGACTAAGACACAGACTATGGCACCACTAAATATAACATTTTTTGCTACCAGTGGGGAAAGAGCTCTTAATTGTTATTAATTTTAATTTGGCTCCCCTCTCCCCACAAATTTTACTTATCCATCTTTCTTGAAACATCAGCAACTGATGTCATTTGGCAAACTGTAGAAATGTGCATCATGACCACATCTAAGCAAAAGTGGGAGATTTCAGAGAATCAAAGGAACAGTGTCTAAAACAGTGACTGTGAGAACTTCCTCTTCTTTACCCCAATTCAGAGAGAGGGCCAGCCCAGGGGGGTTCTTGGAGGTCAAGAATGCCAAATGCCAAGTGTTCATATCTGGGGAGGGTGACTGCTTTGTCCTCACAGAAGCAAATCTTCCAGAGCCAAATTCAAGGAGAGTTTGCCAGGCCATTGCTAAATCATAAACACTACTGCACTGAGGATTAGCTGAGGCTTTGCTTTGCCAGGCTGTCTCTCTCTCAATGACACAAGTCTGCTCCGTAGGAACTCTGAACACTCTCAGCAGCATCGACCTCCCTCCTGGTATCCAGTAGCCAGCATCAAGCAGCTCATATCGCCAACCTCTGCATGACCTGCTTCTGGGGGTCCTTCCAGGTGGCCCCAGGAATGCATGTGAACACCCTGTGATGGGGAACGCCACCACACAGGGCCGACGGCCATCCCTGAGCAGCAGCTTTTCTCAGAACAAGGGCTACCCTTAGAGTACTAAATCCCCTCACCAGAATTTCTCTTCATTGATTGTAGAATTGTTGATCACATGCATATCACCCACTTTTCCTCCTACCAAATCTGATACACTCTAAGGCTCAGTTTTTGTTTTGTTTTTGAGATGCAGTCTCCCTCTGTCGCCCAGGCTGGAGTGCAGTGGCTCAATCTCAGCTCACTGCAACCTCTACCTCCCACGTTCAAGCGATTCCCATGCCTCATCCTCCTGAGCAGCTGGGACTACAGGTACGTGCCACCACGCAGGGCTAATTTTTTACGTTTTTAGTAGAGACAGGGTTTCACCATGTTGGCCAGGCTGGTCTTGAACTCCTGACCTCAGGTGATCCGCCTGCCTCAGCCTCCCAAAGTGCTGGGATTACAGGTGTGAGCCACCATGCCTGGCCTAAGGCTCAGTTTTTGGCCTTTCATCCTCCCTCTCTCTCTCCTCTTCCCTGAAGGAGTTTTATCCATTCTTCAACTACCACATCTGTTTTGGGGTCTCCCAAGTCCATACCTCCAGGCTCTCCATCTGAATACCTTCACCACCTCACTGCCATTTCAGTCTTAATCTGCTGAAAACTCAATACATAATATTTGGTATGGTTTGCCTGTGTCCCCACCCGAATCTCACCTTGAATTTTAATCCCCATAATCCCTACGTGTCAAGGGCAGGAGCAGGTGGAGGTAACTAAATCATGGAGGCGGTTTCCCCCAGGCTGTTCTCATGATAATGAGTGAGTCTCACAAGATCTGACGGTTTTTTAAGCATCTGGCATTTCCCCTGCTTGCACTCACTCTGTCCTGCTGCCCTGTGAAGAAGGTTCCTGCTTCTCCTTTGCCTTCTGCCATGATAGTAAGTTTCCTGAGGCCTCCCAAGACATGCGGAACTGAGAGTCCATTAAATCTCTTTCCTTCATAAATTACTCAGTCTCGGGTATTTCTTCATAGCAGTGTGAGAACAAACTCATATAATATTTCTCTCTCAAATCAGCTTCTCCTCTAGGGTTTCCTACTTCCACTCATGGTTCCAAAGTCTCAAGAATCTTTTTTTTTACTCTATCCAGCTAATTACTAAGCCACACTACTTCTTCTTTAATAACAGCTCCATCGTTCTTCCTTCTTCCACATTCATAGTCACCACTCTGGCTCAAGTTCCTTCTTGTGGGGCACATGCTCTCATTCCATGCAGGCTCCCCGTGTCTCATAGCTTCCGTGTCCTATTTGTCTTACCAACAGCTGTGGCCCACAAATTACATTCCTACAGCACTTCCAGCTGCATGGCTCCTTCCATCAGCCACTGAAGAAATCCTACACCTGAGCATCACGTAAACAACTAAATCCCACCTCTGAGTGTAGCTGCAGCTGAGGCACACAAATCTGTGCAAGCTCAAACTCACCTCACGCTCTCAGAATCTCTGCTAAAAAACGCGTGGTATATCCATCTAATGAAATACTATTCAGCAATAAAAAAGAATGAAGTGCAGATGCACACTACGACATGGCTGAACCTGGGAGGTATCATGCTACCTGAAAGCAGCCAGGCACAAAAGGCCGCACACTGTGTAACTCCATTTATACGAAATGTCTGGAATAGGCAAATCCAGAGACAGGAAGCCGACTAGTAGTAGTCAAGGGCTAGAAAAAGGGGTGAACAAGCAATGACTGCTAATCAGTGTGGGGGTTCTTTGGGGGATGATGAGATGTCCTAAAATTAGATAGTGGTGATGGTTTCACAACTCTCTGAAAATACTAAAAGCCACTGAATGGTATGCTTTAAAAGGGTGGATGTTATGGGCTGTGAATTCTATCTCAACAACGCTGATACGGTTTTGTTTTTTGTTTGCTTGTTTTTCAGATGGAGTCTCGCTCTGTCGTCCAGGCTGGAGTGCAGTGGCGCGATCTTGGCTCACTGCAAGCTCCGCCTCCCGGGTTCACACCATTCTCCTGCCTCAGCCTCCCGAGCAGCTGGGACTACAGGCCCCACCACCACGCCCAGCTAATTTTTTTGTATTTTTAGTAGAGACGAGGTTTCACTGTGTTAGCCAGGATGGTCCCGATCTCCTGACCTTGTGATCCGCCCTCCTCGGCCTCCCAAAGTGCTGGGATTACAGGCATGAGCCACCACGCCCGGCCTGATATGGGTATTTTTGAAGTGTGTGGCATGACTGTCCCTTGGTCTGCGTGGACTGCCTCCTTGTGTGTTTTGTGCTGTTGTGTCGTGAGCGTCTTCTCAGAGGGGCTTTATCCGGGGGAATCCCCTGCAGCATAAGTTGGTGCCACGGCCCTGCAGGAGCTTCCCAGGCACCTCCAGGTTCTCCCTGGTCCAGAAGCCCTTGATGGGTAGATTATCAGAGTTCCTTGATTCCATGGTAGTGTACATTCAATCACCTGCTCACATGCTTCCAGGCTATTTGATTTGGGTCCCATGGTTATAAGGGAAGTCTTCCCTTGCCCCCCAACCTCCAAAGCCAAACAGAGTTGGGCAACCTTCTATGTTGTCTTCCTGCATCAGTGGGTGGAGGTTTCCTCTGCCTACTCTCCCCTAAGGGTGCAGTCCTTTGATGGAGCCAGCTTCATCAGGGGTCTCAGGTTCAACCCCCCACCTCAGAGCGCCCAAGCTCTCATCTGCTGTTCCCACAGGGTCATGAAAGCCTCAGGCCCGAGGACCCAGCGAGTGGTAACTCTCCTGGGGGATATCACTTAACTCACACGCTCCGCGTTTTCCTTCTCCGTCCTCTTTTCATTCTGAGACTCTTAGATTGTGTCTTCCTTACCAGCAAGATGTGTTTCGATTCATCTCCTTTTCTAAATGTTTGTATCAGGAAGGTTTTCAAGTTATCTGGTCCAAAACATGACCCAAACCTTCACACTATAGCATATTCAGCCTTCTTTCATGCCTCGTGGTTTTCCCCAACCAAGAATTCACTCATTCTTTTCCTGCCAAGAAAATTGTATCCCATCTTCAAGAACCAGTTCCTTTTCCATCTCCATCATTAATCTTTCCCTATCTCAAGTTATTTCTCTCCCCTACAATCCTTTCCACTATCTATGTTAGTTTTGAATAATGTAAGATTGTTTCATTTTTTCTTCTTTTTTGAATGGAGTCTGTGTCGCCAGGCTGGAGTGCAGTGGTGTGATCATGGCTCACTGCAACCTCTGCCTCCCGGGTTCAAGCGATTCTCCTGCCTCAGCCTCCTGAGTAGCTGGGATGATAGGTGCCCACCACCACACCCAGCCAATTTTTGTATTTTTAGTAGAAACGAGATTTCACCATGTTGCCCAGGCTGGTCTCGAACTCCTGACCTCAGATGATCTGCCCCTCTTGGCCTCCCAAAGTGCTGGGATTACAAGCATGAGCCACTGGGCTTTGTCTATTCTGTTTCTTTTCCCCAGCAAAATTCTAAAGTTCTCGGTGAAAGTGACTTAGGGCTGATGCCTTTAGAGACACGCTTTCTCCTGCCTCCACGCTTTGCACATGTCACGCATCTCTCTCATTCTGCTTGGATCCAATCCCCCTCTTCTCATGCCACCCACTCGATTAACTTCTAAGAGGCCTTTGAGACTCACCCAACTACGCCCTCCTCTGAGAATCATTCATCATCCCCTACTCTCCCACTACTAAAAAGAACTGATTACCACCCCATCACGCAACTACTGGCCCTTACATATGCCCTATTACACAGAGCACTCCCTATATAATTTTTGCCTGACTTTCTCTTCTTCTCTGAGCTTCTTGTGAGGAAAGGCTGTGTCTCATTTATCTCTGTGTCCCCCATACCTAGCACCCCACCCCCAACAGCCTATAACCCATAATTGTTTCATGTTTGGAGAATCTGAAGTCTAGAGTTAAAGTCAAAGTGGGAAGCTGAGTGACAGTCAGGTGTCCCGAACCCAAGAAGTGGGGGGCTGTGCTATCAGGCAATGCCAGCGCTTAGGAATTTTACCCAGTTGCAATTTCAATCAGCCAGCCAAGACTACACAATCCCTGAGTAACAAAGCATTCTGACACTGATAAGCACTTCTCATTTAATTCTCTTTGACTTGTAGTGTTTATCTTGCTGTTACTTGTAGCAAAGTTTCGTTTCAGCCCCTATCTAGCCCTTTACAGAAAAAGTCTGCCAATTCCAATTTGGGACTTAAGTGAAAAACTGGGAAACCAGAAAGGAGGAAACTAGGCTTTTCTGTGATTTCCTGGCGCCACACTTTCCGATGCTCACAGCAAGGCTGCAATCTGAGCAGGTGATGCCGGAGCACCCCAAACTCTATACTGACAAGTGTCTCTTTGTATGACAGCCACAGAGTGCCCACATTCAGAGATACTACACATTTCAATAACATGACCTCATTTTATAACAGATGCGGGCAACGTTGCAGAGAAAAGGGAATGCTTATACACTGCCGGTAGGAATGTAAACTACTTCAGTCACTGTGGACAGCAGTCTGGCGATTTCTCAAAGAACTGGAAACGGAGCTCCTACTCAATCCAGCCAGCCCATTATTGGGTATATACCCAAAGGAATAGAAATCATTCTACCATAAAGACACACATATGCATATGTTTATGGCAGCACTGTTCTCAAGACCAAAGACATGGAATCAACCTAAATGACCATCAGTGGTGGACTCGATAAAGAAAACGTGGTACAAATATACCATGGAATACTATGCAGCTATAAAAAAGTATAAGATCATGTCCTTTGGAGCAACATGGATGGATCTGGGAGCCATTATCCTAAGCAAATTAACCCAGGAACTGAAAAACAAATACTGTATACCCTCACTTATAAGTGGGAGCTAAACATTGAGTACACATGGACACGAAGAAGTGAACAGACACTGGGGCCTCTTGAGGGTGAGGGTCAAAAAACTACTTCTCAGGTACTGTGCTTATTAGCTGGGTGATGAAATAATCTGTACACCAAACCCCCTCAACACACAATTTATCCATATAACAAACCTGTATATGTGCCTCTTAAACCTAAAATAAAAGTTTAAAGGAAAAATAAATAAAATAGGACCTCATTTTACCTCTAAGATATACTTCATCCGGGTAAATCTTAACTACCTCAACAACAGCAATAAATTTTTCAATGGGTGCCTCTAATTTATTTTAAATTATCTGTATTATCATTGTTGGAGAGCAATTTTTTTTCTTGAAACTAAAAATTCAAGCTTTCACTCATGGCCTAGGGAAAAAATATTTTGCCCTCTGTCCATCATTTATTACCTCATATTCTGAGTCAGAGACAAAAACCAGTTTTCCCCACTGTCTTCTGCTTCCTGCCTCAAGTCTCAAATCTCTGTTTTGCAATGTTTTCCTGAAACATGCATCTGCTGGTAGCAACGTCTTGACAAGGGCAGCCCAGTAGACGAGAATAAACACAATCAACTGGCATGTAACTCAAGGTCATTTTGATGAGTCCTTGCTCTAGACAGGTGTCAGCAAACTGTGGCTCAGGGGCCCTGCTGCTGCCTGCTTTTAGTAAATAAGCTTTTACTGGAACACAATCACACCCATTTCTTTGCATATGGCCTGTGGCTGTGCTCTTGTCACAAGGAGGACAGATCTTGCATCCAACAGCAGAGTTGAGTGGTTACAACAGAAACCATCTGGGGGCCGGGCGTGGTGGCTCATTCCTGTAATCCCAACACTTTGGAAGCCAAGGTGGGAGGATCGCTTGAGTCCAGGAGTTCAAAACTAGCATAGGTAACATAGTGAGACCCTGTCTCTACAGAAAGAAAGAGGAGGGGAGAGGGGAGAAACTTGGAAAAATGAATCTTCAGCCTGGCGCTGTGGTTCATGCCTGTAATCCCAGCACTCTGGGAGGCTGAGGCAGGTGGATCACCTGAGGTCAGGAGTTCGAGATCAGCCTGGCCAACATAGTGAAACCCCATCTCTACTAAAAATACAAAATTAGCCAGGTGTGGCGGCGCATGCCTGTAATCCCAGCCTACTCGGAAGGCTGAGGCAGGAGAATTGCTTGAACCCAGGAGGCGGAGGTTGCAGTGAGCTGAGATAGCGCCATTGCACTCCGGCCTGTGCAACAAGAGCGAAGCTCAGTCTCGAAAGAAGAAAAAAAAAATCTTGTCTGCAAAACTTAAGATGTTTATCATCTGCCCCTTTACAAACAAGTTTGATGACACTGGCTCCAGAAAGCCAAAAAGGGAAGCTAGACTCTTCTGATATTTCCTTCTGATATTTCCTGGGGCCTTGCTTTCAGGTGCTTAAACAAGGCCTAGACCTGAACAGGCAAAGCAGGTGGACCCGACGCTCTCTGTTGTCGATTTTTATTTGCATGATAGCCACATAGCGCTTGCCTTCTGAGACCCCTTCCCCCAGTCTTTCAGGCATGCACTCACTGGGCAAGCTTGCATCCTCCTGCTTTCTGAGCGCCTTCATTTGTTCAGGGATTTCTCTCCCCTAACCAGATGGCAAGCCCTCAGAGGCCCTCTGGGTCCCGCAGCTCATGCTGAGCTTTCCTCCAGGCTGCTCGGTGAATCTGACTGCCTTCTTTGATCTCCGTCGTTTAATTTTTGTTTGTTTGTTTGTGACAAGGTCTGGCTCTGTTGCCCAGGCTGGAGTGCAATGGCGCCATCATAGCTCACTGCAGTCTCGACCTCCTGGGCTCAAGCCATCCTCCTACCTCAGCCTCCTAAGTAGCTGGGACTACAGATGTGGGCCATCATGCCTGGCTAATTTTGTTTATCTTTTTGGTACAGATGAGGTCTCACTATGCTGCCCAGCCTCGTCTCGAACTCCTGGGCTCAAGCCATCCTCCCACCTCGGCCTCTCAAAGTGCTGGGATTACAGGCATGAGCCACCATACCTGGCCTGGATCCTCTCTTTTGAAATGTGGCAGACCCACATAGTCTGAAGAAGGCAGCTACAATATCACACTGTTGGACATCACTGGACTTGACAGTCACCCAGCTTGCCCGAGCCACTTTGCCTCAGTCTACATTTCTGCCATCTGCACGCACACTCGGATGTCACTTGCCCGATCCACATCATGAAAGGGAAAGAAGTTTGCCTCCCCATACACGCCCAAGGAGTGCTTAGTGTTAAATAATAAAACGTTGCTCAATAATTCTACGAATCAAAGCAGAACAGCTTCGTGAGTTTTTCACAATACTAGCCTGCTGGCTGGCACCTCTTTGAGTAGGTGACATCTGTGTGCACTCACCTGAGTGCACTGTCCTTCACGTTACTTGGTGACAAAAACAGAGCCTCAAAGCTTGAAAAGTGGTCTACAGACCACCACTGTGTTACGGTCCATATGTGACGTTACAGAGAAGTGGTTTAGGTAAGGCTGACCTGGGCTTGAATCCTAACTTTCCTACTTATAACTTTGTGTATTTCAGCATAATTACATCATTTTCCTGGTCTCCACCTTCCCATGCATAAAATAGGGAGAGCAATGTTTACTTCACTGGATGGCTGAAAGATTAAATGAAGAAATGTACGTAAAACCCTCACAGCACTTGATACGCACTGATCACTCAATGGTAACTACTGTGCCTCAGAAAAATGCAGGATACATTTATTGTTTGTGGGCTGGTAGTTTGGCAGCAAATGTCATTACCCACTGTCTGTGAAGAGTTGGGAATGCATATTGTAATGATCAAACACAAGATGTTCCCCAAGTCCATGGAGCTTACAAATTACTCACCTGTAAGGTTACACATGAAATATCCAAATAGCCCTTGGGAACCCAATTTTGGACAGCGAGGGAGAAACCAATGTCCTAGAGCATAAAGTAAGCCTGTGAGTGAACCAAAATCGACATGCAGATCCCAGTCCTCCTACTCGTTAATTCACGTTTGCCCTCATTTTAACTTGACTAATTCACGTTTGCCCTCATTTTAACTTGACAATTACAGATAAGAAACATGCTTGTTCTTTACCCTCTAAATTTGTCAACTAAATAAAATGGAGAAAGGAAGACAAGCTTCAAAGGCTACGTGGGAACCCAGAATTGGCACAGAGGGACACAGAGTGTGGGAACAGGTTTGAAGACCATTAAAGCATGGAAAACATCTGGTAAGTGATCCATTCGTCACTGCTTGGTTGCCAAAGAGGGTCCCTTAGCCAAGTTCTTTAATATGAATGTGAAAGTAGTAGATCTAATTCTATAGATCAGGGAAAGGAAAGACAAGAAAGTGGACACCATGGTCAAGGAAAAGCATATTCTTAATCCTCCCAAGGACTACATGTCTGTCTGCAAATGTCAATGCTTTAAGCATGCAACTAACAACAAAAAAAAGAAGCCTTCCCTGATTACATTTTTCTCCCCCCTCCCTTTCTTTTTTTTCTTTTTTCTTTTTTTTTTTTTTTTTTGGCTCTTCTCAGCTCCCATTCTCACCAAGAAGTTTTAGCTCAAACTGGGAGGTAGAAACCCTGCCTGACCCAACACCACAGCCATCTCTCAACAAACTCATCTGCAAAAGCACACGGGAGGGAAAACAGCAAAGCCACGTGCCAGCAAACCTCAGGCAGCTCTGTTGCTGTTCCCAAGCCAGGCAGGTCCTGGCTTCCAGGATCATGTTCCCACTGGGATTAGGACAAGAACCAGAAAATGCCAGAGGCACACAGCTTTGGGGGCTCCCCAGGTGCCAATATACCCCTTACCGAGAATATTTTTTTAAGGTTGAATGGTCTTTACAGCTTTTTCTAAATCAATAGTTCAAGTAATTATTAAATGCCAACTATGTGTCCTACATTGCAATAAATGCAGCAAGGTCTTTCAGGCCCGTCAAAGACGAGGGGAGCCAAGAACATTGGGAATAACAGTGAATGATTCTTAATAGAATCCATGTGGATGCATGACAAATGTCCCACATTGCCAAGCCTGTTGACACAATATGAAAAGCCCTTTGCTTGGGATAATTGTCCTCTTCACCAATAGACATAACATCATATACAAGACTCTTCAAAGAGCCAGCTAAGCTTTTCACTTAGTACTGTGGCCTTGGAGATGCTGAGAACTGCAAAAATAGTCCGCAGATTTCAAAACCACTCAAGGCAGCGAGGGGCTTTCAAAATTGCTCAGACATGTGTTTGGCTGGTCTAGGGTGGCTCTCCTGGAAAGAGGCCATGCTGAAGCTTCGAAGCCAGCAGAGTGCATGCCAGACTTTCAGTGGCTAGCAAGGAATGGAATTTTAATATCCAGGAATGAAGGAAGAGGGGAGAATAACAAATGATCTGACATCTGTTATTACATTGCTCTTGCATCATGCGAGGAAATCCCTGCCTTCTGCAATGCAGCCTTCTCAGTTGGGTCTTCAAATGTAAGACTGCCTTGACCTTGTATCCATTTGCACTTCTGCCAGCTGCATACATGTGTGCCTTCTTGCCGCAACCACACTCTTACTTGCACGGTACATGGCTTAGTTCTCAGACTTCAGACCTGGGAGTAAAGGCTGCCACCACCATTTATTAGCCAACTTATCTACCTTTGCAAAGCCTCAGTTTCTCCATCAGTAAAATGGGGATGACAACTAAATTATTTTAAAGATTAAAGATTCTTGCATTAAATCATTCACATAATACTCTTAGCTATTTTGGAAATGGCCCATGCCATATTTTTAAGAAGTGCCCGAATTATTTTATGATTAAAGGTACATTTAGGAGACCCTAATTTAGTTCATTAGTTTTTCTCTGGATAATTTGGGGCAGGGTTTATTTTTCTGAGGGTTATTTGGCAAGAAGATTCTTGATCATTCTCCCACAGGAAGTGGAAGACAACCCTGGGGCACTGGATTGGACTAGGTTTGAGGTTAAACCCTGAAGTGCTCTGGCACCTGAGATGCATTTCTTTAATTACTAATATGCTTGATGGTTTTTTCATAATTTTATCAAATCATCTTATTTCTTTCTAGTAGCTTGTTTTATATCCTTTGCTCATTTTCTTATATAGGATTAATTTTCATTAATCTGGAACAGTTCTTTACATATTAATGATACACTTACTTCTTTTTCCTGCATGCAATTTTCTAGTGTTTTGTTTACTTTTTTTTGTTTACAACAAAAATTTAAAATTTTTATGTAGCTAAAGTTACCGATTTTCCCCTTTGTAATTACTTTTAGGCTTAAAAGTGATTATACTGCTTTTAGGCTTAGAAAGTTTCTTCCCACTTGAAAATCAGTTAAATATCCACCTGCAATTTTTTTTTTTTTTTTTACATATTTTGGGGTGTGGTTCATTGATTACCTTAAGCCTCTTAACCCATTTGGAAATCTTAGCCTAGTAACAGTTTTAAATGTTATAAATTGGCACAGACTTTTTAGAAAATGTTTTTGGAATGTGTACCAAACCCACAAATGAATTGGTACTCTTTGCCCCAGTAATTCCAATTCTAAGAATCTAATTTAAGAAAATGACAGGGCATGCGTCAGGCATTTCTACATGAAGACAGTCATCCCGATGGGGTTTATTATCACAAAAAATGGAAATGGCTGAAAAGTCTCTAATGGGTGGTAGGGTGAATAAATGTTCTGCAGCTACACGCTCCCATATGGTTACTATTAGCCATATATTAACTATGCAAATTTAAATTTATTAAAATTAAAAATTCAGTTCCTCACTTCCATTAGCCATACTTCACTTGCTCAACACCCATATGTGACTAGTGGCTATTGTATTGGACAGCACAGGTGTAGAACATTCCCATTCTCATAGAAGCTTCTAGTGAACAGTGTTGCTCTATGGCCATTAGAATCAGGTTTTTAAAGAATATTTAATGCCATAAGATATATTCATAATATGGGGGTGAATAAAAACATCAGAAGACAAACTATTCGGTAGTCACAGGAATTCAGACTGGTTGCAGTTAATTTAATCATAAATATCTTCAGCAAGTTATGTTTGTTCAGAGGAAATACAAACCCTGCCCCCACAAAAAAGCTGTGTTTTTTTTTTTTTTTTAGAAAGGAAAAGAAAGAACATCTGAAGATTCATAGGTACCTAGGAATTAAATGAGATGCCTGAGGAAACCCAGCCCATGGTACCCTCTCAGTAACTGTTAAGTGATTCAAAATCCAAATGGCAATTATCATACTGATCGTATGTAAGCCTAATTAACACGGTATTCTGTGATCCACAGTGGTCTTAAAAGAAGCCATGGTTATTCTTCTGTCAGCATCGATCATGCAGCCATCAATGTCACAAAACAACTTGGTCAACGAATGGCATTTAAGAACTTGTAGTACACAGGGCCGGGCGCGGTGGCTCATGCCTGTAATCCCAGCACTTTGGAAAGCTGAGGTGGGCAGATTACCTGAGGTTAGGAGTTCGAGACCAGCCTGGCCAACATGGTGAAATCCCACCTCTACTAAAAATACAAAAATTAGCTGGGCATGGTGGCGAGCACCTGTAATCTCAGCTACTTGGGGGAACTGAGGCAGGAGAGTTGCTTGAACCCAGGAGGCAGAGGCTGCAGTGAGCCGAGATCATGCCATTGCACTCCAGCCCAGGTGACAGAGTGAGACTTCGTCTCAAAAAAAAAAAAAAAAAAAAAAAAAGAACTTGTAGCCCATAATGCGAAGAACTTCACAAGGTATTTGGTAAATAAGGAAAGGCTATGTGGCCTCTAAAACATCAATAAATATCAGCCACTATAAGAGAAAGCTTCACTTTGGTGTAACAAAAACTTTGGGAAAAACTTTGGGAAACCTACAAGTAACTTGAGCCCTAAGGGACTCCAAAGTTTGGATTTCGCAGACACAGACAAGTACATGTTTACTGTGCTTGAGAAAATATAAAAGATTAAAAACTGTAAAAAACGGAAAATCCTAAAACATCACAGAGGAGATTTGAAAAAGAACTTAAATATTTTCTTTAGCTTCCCAGTAAGAACTAAAAAAGCTAAACAAATGGGGTTTTAAAAAAATCTTTAAAGTAGCAGAAAGCAAACAAAACAGTGAGAAAAAAAATCTGAGAGAAGATGCAAATTTTAAGAGGTGAGCTCAGCATTTGGGACCACTTGTGTCTCAAGGATGTTTGTCAAGACCGAAGAGACACCTGAGAGGCCGCACATCCCCTCTGTAGCTTAGGGGTGCTCTGGCAAATCTACACTGTGTGCAAAGCAGAAATATGCCAGCTCCTAAGAGTTCTGCAGTCCAGCTTCGTGCCATTTGGGCTGCCCAAACACCTCCATCCCTGAAAATGGACTAAAGTAATCCCAGATTTTTATTCCCCCAGAGATCTGACAGAAACAAGCCCAAACCTTCTCTAGAGGAACAGACCATTATCTTAGGCCTCAAACTATTTCTACAAACAGATTTTCAAATATTATGTTCATCATTCGATGACTGCCAGTGTAGAATACCATACCTAGTAAAAACTATCCTTAAAGGATAAAAGTAAAATAAATCATTTTCAGACAAAGACAGAGAATTATTTTTAAAAATACGCTCATGGATGATGTTCCTCATGCAAAAGAAAAGGAACCCAGATGGAAAGTCAAGAAAGCAGAAGGAAGAAAAAGTCAAAAATGGAGCAGTTGGCAGGTTGCGCTCTGGACGAGCACGTGATGTTAAAGAACCACTAAAAGCTGATTCACAGAGCAAGGTTATTTTCCCCCTACATTAGTTCGACATTATATTTGGCTATCCTCTAAAACAAGCTTGTCCAACCCCTGGCCCACAGGCCACATGCAGCTCAGGTCAGCTTTGAATGCAGCCCAACACAATTTCATAAACTTTCTTAAAACATCGTGAGATTTTTTTGCGTGATTTTTTTTTTAGCTCATTAGTATTGTTAGTGTGAGTGTATTTTATGCATGGCTCAAGACAATTCTTCTTCTACCAGTGTGGCCCAGGGAAGCCAAAAGACTGGATACCCCGGCTCTGAAAGACAATAGTTAAACCCTAGTCTCACTTCATATTTTGAAATATGTTTTTGCTCTATTGGAGTGTAGGAAAACCAGATGCCATGAAAAACCAGAAAGCCATGGAAAACCATGAAAGCCATGAAGATACAGATTTCACTGCCAGATTTTTAAAATATAAATGGCCAAAGAAGCCATTTATAAAGTAGTAGATTGAGATTGAGAAAAAATAGTTGCAACAGTTTATCAGCTAGGAGTAGGTTCAACTGCGTGTGAGGCAGGACCTGGAGGTGGACGCAGGTTGGACAGAGAGTTTCTATGAGATTTGAGATAGTATCTCACTCATTAAATCACAAATGCATTGTGAATTGTATAAAAAAATGAAAAAGGCCGGGCATGGTGGCTGATGTCTGTAATCCCAGCACTTTGGGAGGCCGAGACAGGTGGATACCTAAGGTCAGGAGTTCCAGACCAGCCTGGCCAACATGATGAAACCCTGTCTCTACTAAAAATACAAAAATTAGCCAGGTGTGGTGGAGTATGCCTGTAATCCCAGCTACTCAGGAGGCTGAGGCAGGAGAATCTCTTGAACCCAGAAGGCAGAGGTTGCATGCAGTGAGCTGAGATCACGCCATTGCACTCCAGCCTGGGCAACAAGAGCAAAACTCCATCTCAAAAAAATAAATAAAATAAAATAGATAATGAATTTTAGAAGACAAACTAACAGATTCATGTTTTTGAAGAATGTAAAGATATTAGCTGGTCTGGCAGCCAGTAGCTCTGTTTTCTATTATGTGAGTTTGAAATGTATCGTATATGAAAGATTCTGACATTTATGATAGCAGAATAAGATAAGAAAGTCTTTTCCAGTGGTTTGTAAGAAAAGCATAAATAGTCATATTTTCAGGAATCTAATTTTTCGACATAAACTACGTGACCCCTGAATGTCTCCCCACCACCCTGGAATTTTAAGATTCATCCTAAATTTTGTGACATCAGTCCTGACTTACTGTGACCTGAGTTCTTTATTCTAAGGAGGCTTCCAATGATTCTATTCCACTGTTCTCAAAGGAATCATCGCTGAACAGAATTACTCCATCAATGATAGTGCTGAGGACTGGCCCTGTCGATGGATTCCTGTCTCACTTACATTATCCACTCTGCCAGTGCTGTTTATTTCAAGGGGTTTCTACAGCACGTCCCTCTGCTCTCTTAAAACCACCACGCTGAAATACAGTTTATGTCAAATGACTTAACTGAATCCGCTCAAGAAGGCTTTCCATAGGCAGGAATCGCTGGATGGTAAAGCTGACGTTTGGCATCTACCGAACTTTATTCGCAAAGCAAGTCATTGTCCCAGGCAAAAGCGAGAGAGGAATAAATGGGCGGTTGGCACTCACTCACCTGCCGGAGTTTGGTTCCCACCATAGAAGCACTGCTGTCAAGCACGAATACCACATTCTTGGGTAAAGGAGGAAGGTCTTTAGGAGCAAAGTAGTGCACAAAATAGCCATTTAGAACCTGGTGGAGGGAAAAGAAAGTAAAAACGGTAGTACCTAGAGCGGGGAGCAAAAATACCTGAAGTGGGTAGTCTATGGAATTTCTAAAAGTTAAAGCATGACAAAGAGTTTAGGGTGAGATTCCACACCCGGAGTAAAATTATCTAAGGCCCTGATCCCTCCAAGAGAACTAATTGCTCATTTAATCTGTATAAGGGTAGACTCTTCCCTTTAAAATTGATCAGTGATGACTACCAGTTCAAGTTTAATTATCCATCCCTTGGACTTTTGCTACTTGAGAATTCTGCTTCCTTCATTATGTTTTTTTTACCAAGCATCTTACAAGTTGAGACATCAAGATTCTCTACATTCTGGATGCAATTAATAGGTTTTAATATCCCCACCCTGTCTCTGGAACAATAAGACCTAAAGGGAAATGAGCAGCCTCTTTTAATTAAAATGGAACATGGACCAAGCGCGGTGGCTCAGGCCGGTAATCCCAGTGCTTTGGGAGGCTGAGGGGGTCAGATCACCTGAGGTCAGGAGTTCGAGACCAGGCTGACCACCATGGCAAAACCCCATCTCTACTAAAAATACAAAAATTAGTGGGGCGTGGTGGTGGGTGCCTGTAATCTCAGCTACTCGGGAGGCTGAGGCAGGAGAATTGCTTGAACCTGGGAGACGAAGGTTGCAGTGAGCCGAGATCGGCCACTGCACTCCAGCCTGGGTGACAGAGTGAGATTTGGTCTCAAAAATAAAATAAAATGGAGCATGAACTAAAATTCTAATTTCATCTAAAACACCACAGGGAGCTTTATATTACAGATTTCACTTGCGCTGCAGATTACTGAAGCTGGAAATAGGTTCCCTCAGCAAAAAAATACCGCTAGTCTCTTTGAAGAAATACTTTGGATTAAAACAAATTTACTAAGAAGCAGAAAGTTCTCTCTCCCTTAGGTAAATATTGGGATCCACAGTATGAGTCTGTCCAAAGTACCAACCAACCAACATGAAATAGCAACGACGATCCTATTACCTGGATGTCCCCAATGCTCTGTTCTCTATTGACGTCATATCTAATGATAAAGTCTCCCAAAATTCCATTCTGGGCAATCCTGGCTTGTTGTACTACAGTAGGTTTAAAAATTATGTTGGCAAATGTTTCATTTTGGTTAATGACAGTAGATGGGGGAGGCCCAGAATCATCTGCAAACAAGATAGAAACATAATTAATAACTTAATATATATTTTTCCAAAAAGAAATAAAAACTGTTTGGCAGACACAGAGTTTTAGATTTCATTTTATTACAGGCTTGTATTTCACAGGAACTTCTAAGACTGTACTCATATATCACAATGCGAGAGTTATGTCATCATATAGTTTCCTCTTATGCCTCTTTTTGAACCTTTTCTTATGAACATTTTTAAAACACACAAAAGTAGAGAGAATAGTAAAATGAACCCCTGTACCCATCACCCAACTTTAACAAACATCAGCATGTTACCAACCTTTTGTATGTTTTTATCTATTCCCCATTTTTTCCTAGAGCATTTTAAAACAAATTCCAGACACCATATTTCATCCATAAATACTCCAGTATGTCTTTACCTGTAAGAACTCTTTTACTAACATAACCACAAAACCATTATCACAAGTAACAAAATTAATGCTCAATGCCCTATTATTATCTAATTCTCAGTTTGTATTTAAATTTATCTGATTCCCTAAAGAAAGGGTCTTGGTATGGTTGATTTGCTTGAATGAAGATTAGAAGAGTCCCCAATCACATTCCATTTTTATTTCTTGCTTCTTTTAATCTCCAGTGTCTGCCTCCACCTCTTTTGTGATGCTGCATATATGTGATAAATCGCTGGTCATTTGTCCTATGGGATTTCTCTTTTTCTGTATTCCTTTTTTTTTTTGAGACAGCGTCTCAATCTGTCACCCAGAGCGCAATGGTGCAATCACAGCTCACTTTTGGACTCAAGTGATTCTCTCACCTCAGCCTGCCAAGTAGCTGGGACTACAGGCACACACCAGCATACCTGGATCATTTTTTGTTGTTGTTTTTTGTAGAGACAGGGTCTTGCTATGTTGCTCAGACTGGTCTTGAACTCCTAGGCTCAAGCCATCCTCCTGCCTCGGACTCCCAAAGTTCTAGGAGTACAGGCGTGAGCCACCATGCCCGGCTTACGGCTCATTAAAAAAAAAAAAATTCTCAAAGCTTTTTCACATGAAATTTAGGATATAAATTAGAATTACAGAAAGATAAACAGATAAATGGATATTATGTAATTTATGAAAACCTAGTGTGATGACAGATTAAGCAAAGAGCATCCCATCTTTTAGTCCTGACCTTCATTTCCTGTTAGAACACAGAGAATTATTTAGCAAACTACTCACGTTTATAAACCCAAACAACACCATATCTATGTACTTAGCAATAAAACCCCAAAAGATGAGGTCTGCATGCACCCTGGAGAACATGAAAACATAAACAAGAATTCTTAATCATAAGGGCATGTGGAGGCTTTTTATCCAGATATTGAATCAAAGCCAGACTTAAAACTGCTGCAAAGCCTCTGATTATCTTTTTAAATGTACTCAAGTTGATAGCATGAAATAGGCTGACCAGCCATTTCCCATCTCCAATTAGCAGAATGAAAAAGGAAATGAGGCGTTAAGTGGCCACAGTAATTTGTATTTAAAAATAAACTTCCTTCTGCTGAGGGTTTATTAGACACACAAGTCAAAGGAAGTTTAAACATTTCCTTTAACAAAATAGGCAATTATTTTTCAGAGACAATTTAGGTGTAACCTTAACAGGAACCACAAGGTAGAACAGATTCTTCTATTATTTGCACTTATCAAGGACAGGGATTTTGGAAGTGATCAGAGAGCCAGCAAAGAGAAAAGGTTATTTTTGTAGGGAGACAGTTACATAAGAGAGAACACGAGTCCACAGATCTGCTCATCTGAAGGAGTTGGGAAAATCCAGACAGTGCATGGACAGGTGGCACAGCCCAGGTCACTACCAGCATGGTTGAAGATGCCTTAGACCCATTAGACAGGACAAAGAAACGGGTGCTGAAAAAGGAAAAGTCCTTGAAATTAAAGGAAACTGCATGCTGTCCAGGGTCAATCTCTCATTGGTGGTCATTGTTAAAGCACCCAGAGTGACAGGCATCATAATATATCAGCTAAGAACGCACGATCATGGTCAGAAACCTGCATTCAAATATTGGTTTCACTTCTTAACAGCTGTGAGACTTTGAGCAAGTTACTCGGCCTTGGTTATCTCATCTGTAAAATGGATTAATGATAGTACCAATCTCACAGTATTGAAAAGATCAAGTGATGTCACGTACTTAGCACCATTTTCCAGTTCACAGTCAGCAGTCATGCTAGCTTATATCATTACTGTATCAGTCCATTTTCACACTGTTATCAAGAAGTACCTGAGACTGGGTAGTTTATACAGAAAAGAGGTTTAATTGACTCACAGTTCCGCATGGCTGGGGAAGCCTCGGGAAACTTACAATCACGCAGAAGGCAAACGCAAAGCGAACACGTCTACAAGGCGGCAGGAGCGAGAGACAGAACTGGGAAGCGCCGGACTTTTAAACCATGAGATCTCGTGAGAACTCACTCACTATCACGAGAACAGCAAGGGGGAAATTCACCTCCATGGTCCAATCACCTCCCACCAGGCCACTCCTCCGACACATGGGGATTACAATTCGAAATGCTATTTCCGTGGGGACACAGAGCCAAACCATATCAATTTCCAACCTTAACTATATAAAATAGAAGGAGGGGCCAGGCCCGGTGGCTCACGCCTGTAATCCCAGCACTTTGGGAGGCTGAGGCGGGTGGATCACCTGAGGTCAGGAGTTTGAGATCAGCCTGGCCAACATGGAGAAACCTCGTCTCTACTAAAAATACAAAAAATTAGGTGGGTGTGGTGGCTGTAATCCCAGCTACTCAGGAGGCTGAGGCAGGAGAATATCGCTTGAACCAGGGAGGCGGAGGTTGCAGTGAGCTGAGATAGTGCCATTGGACTCCAGCCTGGGCAACAAGAGCAAAATTCCATCCCACCACCCCCTACCCCCGCAAAAAAAAAAATAGAAGGAGCAATTACATATACAACTATAAACACAAGTCAAACTTGGGATACCACAAGGCAATAAAAACAAAAGAACTAATATTGCTATTTAGAACATGGTTGAACCTCACAGTCTTCTTGAGTGAAAATATCAGATACAAAAGCGCATGTTCTCTCTGCTTCCATCTGCATAAAGTTCAAGAGGAGCATGAAATACCCATGGCAACTGGAGTAGAACACTGCTGACCTTTGAAGGCCTGCTCAGGACCAGGAAAGAGCACGTGGTAATTTTGAGGAAGGGTGAAAATATTCCATGTCTTGAGGTGGAAGGCAGTTGAATGAGGGTATACCTATGTAAAATTTTATCAAGCTGTACACATGACATTTGTACCGTTTATGGTGTATGTACACCCCAGTTATTAACATTTAAATTTATTGTTAGCAAAGTAGATTAAACAGGCATTCCCCGGCATGGAACATAACAATGTTATTTGCCAAACAGACCCCTCTCTGTCCTTCTCCTTAGGATGAATGTGCATGGGCATTTATTAAATGAGGATTAGGTGTGTCCAGAGCAATTCCAGCCGGCAGAATTAGGACCAGGGAGAGAGTTTCCGGGAGGCACTTTTCAGCGCAGTGTCGGTGAACCCTAAGAAAGCTGTCCTGTTGGGATCGGCCGCCTTCACAACCCATCCCATTAGAAGGGCTCAAGTGAACCCTGGAATAATCCCCCCCACGAGGGTGTAGAGCAGTTCTCACAGTGTGATCTTGAACCAGCAGCATCAGCAGCTCCTGGGAACTTGCTAGAAATGCCAATTCTCAGGCCCACCCCAGAAACTCGGAGTCAGAAACTCTGGGGATGGGACTCCGCCATTTGTGTTTTAACGAGCCCTCTGGGTGATTCCGGTTTTTGCCCATAGAAAATAGGCATGTAGCTTACACATGGTCTGTGTGCCTTACACATAGAAAAGTGTCAATAAAATGTGTTGTATGCAATTAGGCAGCACTTAGATTATCTCTAAGATTCTACAATAATTAGATTAGACTCTCTTTATGCTGCCAGCATGTACCTACTTAGTCTTGCTTCCAATCTCGTGAAAATGCTTTTTACAAGCTCCCTGAATTAATACCATTCATGGCTGAGTAAAAGCACTGGGGATTAGAAAGTATAATTTCTCTGTCCATCATTCACTCGACTAGGCTCTTTGATATGGACCATGAGGAAGGATACTGTATGATTATTTTGGCTTCCTAGTGACCTCTGGTTTTACTAGCTCATGATGAAAATTCATGAGATTCAACTAAATGGGATTATTTTACACACCCAAAGAATGGGTTGATTCTCAGTTTGGTTACTCACCAAGGAGCCTGGTTCCTGAGGCCAACCACCACCCAGGAAGAAGCAGACAGTAAATGTGACCCAATAAATTTTTCACTACTTTTTTTTTAAGTTTACTGGGAGCAATTCCAGAGGAGCATCTCTAGAAAATAGAATCATCTTTTTATTAAGGGGGAAAAAAATCTGTTAAGTAGGTTCATATGGGCTGTTCCACCGTTACTGACCAAAATCCCAGAGCAGAAGAACATGACTCCGTTTTTCCTTGCTGTGAATGGGGGCTCACCCTGCTTACCGCCACAGATATTTCCTAAGCACAAAAATGAGTGTCACCCGCAGGGTCATCAGAGTCACAGGTTAATGAAGACCGCAAGGAAAGACATTGGTGCAGAACAAAAAAGAGGAAGAATCTGACCCACTTGTCTAATGAGAACCCATGTCTCTTTCCTCCTTCGTGTTCTCTCCTTCTTGCCCACTTCTATGGTGAGCTGGAGCAGCTGCTCCGATTTGAGGGAGGCCAAGTCTTCTAATCCCATCTTCCTGTCTTCATGCAGGCATTGGTGATCCCATGCAAGACAACCCCAGGGACACACAACTGCCTCTCCTGCCCTCGGGAAAATTCATTCATGCTCTTCCTCCACTCACTGACTCTTCCCTGCCTCTCAGGCCACCAGGACTCCCAGGGGGCTCTCTTCTTTTCTAAAGCCCAGTATTTTAGAGCAAGAAGTTTTGTGTTATCTTTGCAAACTACAGAATACCAAAGAGAGTGGGTTCTAGAGTGTGACTGAATCAAAACGACTGACTTAATATTCCTGAGCTTCAGTCCCACATCTGTTACATGGAAACAATTCCACAGTCACAGAATCATTGTTGAGATGTAGTGAGATCTCATATGTAAGGTACCCCGTGTGGTGCCTGGCAGACAGTAGGTGCTCAATACATACTAGCTCCATCCTCTTCCCCTTCAGAAGTAGTTTTTTGTACTTTGTCCATTATGAAAGGCAACTTATAAAGAAAAAAATGCTCTTGGATAACATACAGTTCACATTTTGTCATAACAGTTTTCTCTATACCACTGAAAGCTTGAAAAAAACAATATTTTAAAAGGACAGACACATAATAAACATTCATAACAGGAAATTCAATATATATACACATTATACATATGTCAATATGCTTATATAAAGAATAATCTTTAAAAAAAGAATAATCTTTACAAAATATAATGAAGTCAGTAGCTGTCTGAAAGTCCCTTAAAATTATACACAGAATTTTGCACGTAAGCGTAAATGTACATTTTTTTCTGAAGAAAGGATGCATTGATTTTGCCACATTCTCCAAGGACTCTAAAGAAAGTTAAGAACCATGTTTATAAGTGCCATTAAATATTCCTATGTCTGATCCTATTAGGTAATGACAAAGTACTTTATAGCTTGTGCATCAGAGTTGAAGAGAACAAAACATATGTCCTTAGTGATGTCCTGATACATGGAGGTTGGTCGCAAACATACAATCTTTTCCTAGACAATTATCACATGGGGAAAGATGGCAGCCAACTGCTATGTAAAATGCCAAAGGTGAAAAGATTGAGAAGAGCCCCATGCTCACAGCCACGGGCTGGAAGCGCCACCCTCTGGGTTGATAGGGAGAGGGATTTCCTGGCCTCTGTTTCCTGAGGGTCTGGGTTTTGGCTGCTGTCGGAGAAAAGCAGCCAACACCTGGTGCATTGACAAAAGGATTTCCCAACACACGCTGCCTGCTCATTTCCTCTTTAGAAAGAAGCTTAAATTGTCTATGTTTGTTTATGAACCCTGCTTACCTGGGATCCAACGAGGCAATTTCTTAAATATATGGAGGTCAAAAATACTGTGAATAATTGGAGCACTACCCTCTGAGGGTGGCAATAAAGATAAAACTCAAGCAAATCAGCAGAGGATTGAAAGAAAAACTGGTAACACAGAGGCAATGACGATGAGAAGGAATTTGGTTAAATACCTTCATAAGGCCGGGCGTGGTGGCTCACGCCTGTAATCCCAGCACTTTGGGAGGCCAAGGCAGGCGGATCACAAGGTCAGGAGATCGAGACCATCCTGGATAACACGGTGAAACCCCGTCTCTACTAAAAATACAAAAAAATAGCCAGGCGTGGTGGCAGGCGCCTGTAGTCCCAGCTACTCAGGAGGGTGAGGCAGGAGAATGGCGTGAACCCAGGAGGTGGAGCTCACAGTGAGCCGAGATTGCACCACTGCACTCCAGCCTGGGCGACAGAGTAAGACTCCATCTCAAAAAAAAAAAAAAAAAAAAAATACCTTCATAAGTCTCTTACTATCCACAGTTTTCCTTTGGGAAAGGATTTTTCTTCCCCCTACGTGAATGTTTGGTATTTTAAATCCTTTTGGAAAACAGCATCATATAGATATGATAGCAACACATAGCACAGAATACTAATTCAAATTTATAGCTGAAGGGATTCAAACTCAACTGTAGTATTTTATAGTTAAGTAGATGTTTGCCCAGGTTTCTTAGCAAATCAGCTTTCTTCACTGCTTATTCAATGCTCTTCCTTCCTAAAATAATAGATTCCCAACTCTCAGTTTTCCATATTTGAAAAAATTTCCCAAGAGAGACTATGTGTGAAAACAAGTACAACTACCTCACCCAGCAAGCACACTTTCTAAAAGTTAACCCTTAAAAATATGCATTCCCAGGCCAGGCACAGTGGCTCATGCCTGTAATCCCAGCACTTTGGGAGGCCGAGGTAGGCAGATCACCTGAGGTGGGGAGGTCGAGACCAGCCTGACCAACATGGAGAAACCCCGTCTCTACTAAAAATACAAACTTAGCGGGACATGGTGGCGCATGCCTGTAATCCTAGATACTCGGGAGGCTGAGGCAGGAGAATCACTTGGACCCGGGAGGCAGAGGTTGCAGTGAGCCAAGATCGTACCATTGCACTCCAGCCTGGGCAACAAGAGCGAAACTCCATCTCAAAACAAACAAACAAACATGCATTATCAGGCCAGGCACGGTGGCTCATGCCTATAATCCCAGCACTTTGGGAGGCCAAGGGGGGCAGATCACCTGGGGCCAGGAGTTCCAGACCAGCCTAGCTAACATGGTGAAACCCTGTCTCTACTAAAAATACAAAAATGAGCTACTAAGGAGGCTGAGGCAGAAGAATTGCTTGAACCTGGGAGGCAGAGGTTGCAGTGAGCCAAGATTGTGTCACTGCACTCCAACCTGGGCGATAGAGTGAGACTCTGCCTAAAAAAAAAAAAAAATATATATATATATACACATATATATGTGTATATACATGTATATACACATATATATGTGTATATATGTATATATGTATGTATATATATGTGTATATATATACATACATATATATATATATATATGCATTATCCCTTTCTGCCATCACGTGTCCATTGGAGACCTCAAATACTAGCTGCCCCAAGCATTTGAATTCAACCAAATGGAAGCCCACCAGAAACAATGGTAGAGCAGCCAAGGAATATGAGATTGAGAGACTTCTGTCAAATGCCTTTGCAGGGTTCTCTGGCACGCAGGCAGAGCAGGGGCTAATAACCGAGAAAAGCAGAGTGGCACTTGGTGCAGACACACAGTGCAATATAATTCAGCCTTCAAAAGAAGAGAAATGTTGACATGTGGTACAACATGGATAAACTTTGAGGACATTATGTCAGGTGAAATAAGCCAGACACAAAAGAACAGATACTGTATAAGTCTACTTACATGAGGTATGCAAAGTTGTCCAGTTCATAGATGAGACAGAAAGGAGAACAGTGGTTATCTGGGACCAGGGGGAAGGAGAGATGAGGAGTCAGTGTTTAATGGGTACAAAGTTTCAGTTTGGGAGATGGAAAAGTTCAGGAGATTGGTAATACACCAATGTGAATAGACTTAACACTGCCAAACACTTAGAAGTGACTCAGATGGGCCGGGCATGTGGATCACACCTGTAATCCCAGCACTTTGGGAGGCCAAGGCAGGTAGATCACTTGATGTCAGGAGTTCGAGATCGGCCTGGCCAACATGGTGAAAACCTGTCTCTATTAAAAACACAAAAATTAGCCGGGCCTGGTGGCGTGAGCTTGTAACCCCAGCTACTGGGGAGGCTGAGGCAGGAGAATTGCTTGAACCCAGGAGGCAGAGATTGCCATGAGCCAAGACTGCACCACTGCACTCTTGCCTGGGTAACAGAGTGATATTCTGTCTCAAAAAAAAAAAAGAAAGAAAGAAAGAAAGAAAAAGAAAAAGAAATGGCTAAGATGGTAAATTTTACATTGTGTGCTTTTTATCACAATTTTTACAAGGTTTTTAATTGCCAGCTCTAAGTTCTGCAAAGGCAGTGACAACATCTTAGACGTCTGTAGATTCCAGGAACCTTGCACAGCGCCAGAAACATGTGAGAGTTCACGTCCAGCTTGCGGAACACTGAGGATGAAAATGATGAAATGCATTAGTGCATAGCTGGGCAGATGGACAGAGCAGCCCTTCAAGGGAACTGATGTTTCTCTTCCCGAAAGTGTTCAGGGGGTGTGGCAGATGCTCTTGGTGATCTGCATCACATCCCCCGGCCCACCTCTGGTTCAGCCACAGCTGCGATGGCCCAGGTCATACATGCTGACAACATCCACCTCCCACAGCAAGCCAAGGCAGCAGGAAAAAGGAAGAAAAAGAGTGAAGCCTCACAGTAAAGAGGAGGTGTCTCACCGGTATTGGGCTACAGAGAAAAGCCAAAGCCTCTGTGCCACACTCTTGGGTTGACCGTGCCACGCTCTTGGGTTGACCGAGCCACAGCCAACGTCAAAACAAACAAGATAACATGGATTTTCATATTGGATTAAAAATCAAAACACAACCAACTATGGGGCCAAATGATTCATACCTGAATAATTTCTGTGTGAACAATGCTGGAAACCTTCACATAACAACCAGATTGTTTCCTGGCAAAGGTACAGAGATTTCGCAGAGGCCAAACAGGGTCCTGCCCTTCCAGCCGCAGAGCAGAGACCGGACCCAGACCGGGACCCTGGAGCTGGGGGTTTCACAGCCAGTCACAGTGCAGCCCTTTAATAGGCAGAGTTGCCCGATTTAGCAAATTACAATACAGAATGCCTGGTTACGTTTGAATTTCGGATAAACAATGAATAATTTCCTAGTGCAAGCATGTCCTAAATATTGCACAGGACATATCGTTTCTCTGAATTCAAATGAAACTGGGCATCTTATATCTCATCTGGCAACCCTAGCTAAGGGGGATTTATCCAGATTTTCTGTAACCAGAATTTTCTGGAACCAAAGTTAGTTATTACTTTTGTCTCTTAATCCCTGCTTCATAACAACATAAGTGCTAGACCCAAGATCTGGCAAAATTTACCAACGTAAGCCAAGAAAGTGCTGAAAACCTGATAGCACTGTCATAACCAACAATTATTTCCCCTCAGTTCCTTCAACAAACACCTGCTGAGCACCCATTCTATGCCAGGTGCCACACCAAGTGTCTACGAAGACAACCGAAGTCTTCACAGCAAAGGCAGATCATGATGCTCACAGAGCAAAGAAAAACATCAGAATAATTTCAAAAACGGGGTGGTGGGCAAGGGGAGGGAAAGCATTAGGACAAAAGCTAATACATGCGGGGCTTAAAACCTAGATGACGGGTTGATGGGTGCAGCAAACCACCATGGCACATGTATACCTATGTAACAAACCTGCACGTTCTGCACATGGATCCCAGAACTTAAAGTAAAAGAAAAAAAAGAAAATAAGAAGATAAAGTAAAAAAAAAAAAAAAAAAAATTAAACAGGTTCAATTCAAGCCCTTCTTGGGCATCAACTGAAATGCAGGACACTGTGCTAGTCTCTGGTCGAGGGGACTTGACCTTGCGGGATGTGTGGCTGGTCAGTAGCCTGTCCTCAAAGACAGCTGCAGTGTCAGCCACCAGGTCTTCCAAATAAAAGGTCATAAAGCTGTATTTTCAGTGGTTCTCTTCTTTCCAATGACGCTTCCTCAGTTCTTAGGATTATTTGAAGATTGGCATTTTATTGGACACTTACACAGGAGTGATATGATTAAAAAGCAAGCCATAAATTGGTTAGTACCCAGTCCTTTTATTTGCCTTCCCACACATGTGAAGCACCCACAGAGAACAGCCAGAGAACACAGCAAACTGGCTTCCAGGGCATGTGGAGGAAGGGAGATTCTAACCACCTAGAATGTAATTTTTTCATTTTTAACAAAAGTCAAGGTGAATCTCACAGAACATGAAATTAACCTTTTTTTTTTTTTTTTTTTTTTTTTTTTTGAGACAGAGTCTTGCTGCTCTGTCTCCCAGGCTGGAGTGCAGTGGTGCAATCTCAGCTCAATGCAACCTCCGCCTCCCACATTCAAGCGATTCTCCTGCCTCAGCCTCCCAAGTAGCTGGGATTACAGGCGCCTGCCACCAAGCCCAGCTCGTTTTTGTATTTTAGTAGAGATGGGGTTTCGCCATGTTGGCCAGGCCAGTCTCAAACTCCTGGCCTCAAGTTATCCACCCACCTTGGCCTTCTAAAGTGCTGGGATTACAGACCTGAGCCACCATGCCCAGCCAAAATTAACCATTTTTAGGTATACAAACAAATAGCATTTAGTACATCCACAATGTTGTGCAAACACTACCTCTATTAAGTTCCAAAACATCTTCATCACCCCAAGGAAACTCTGTAACCATCCAGCAGCCACTTTCCATTTCTCCCTCCTCCCAGCCCCAGGCAACTACCAATCTGCTTTCTGTCTCTACGGATTTGTGTGTTCTGGACATTTCAGCTAAATGGAATCATACACATGTGACCTTTTCAGTCTGGCTTCTTTCACTTAGCATAATGTTTTCGAGACTCCGTCACACTGTAGCATGTGTCCGTGTTGTGGCCTGTATCCGTGCTGCGGCATGTGTCTGTGTTATAGTGTGTATCCATGTTGTAGCATGTATGTGCATTGTGGCATGTGTCCATGTGATACCATGTATTCGTGTTGTGACATGTGTCCATGCTGTAGCATGTATCTGTGTTATCACATGCATCCATGTTATGGGATGTGTCCATGTTGTACCATGTGTCCATGTTGTCTGGGTTGTCACATGTGTCCATGTTGTAGCGTGTGTCCATGTTGCAGCGTGTGTCCATGTTGTAGCGTGTGTCCATGTTGCAGCGTGTGTCCATGTTGCAGCGTGTGTCCATGTTGTAGCGTGTGTCCATGTTATCATATGTATCTGTGTTTTTGCATGTGTCCATGTTGTAGCGTGTGTCCCTGTTGTAGCGTGTGTCCCTGTTGTAGCGTGTGTCCGTGTTGTAGCGTGTGTCCGTGTTGTGGCATGCATCCATGTTATCATATGTATCTGTGTTTTCACATGTGTCCATGTTGTAGCGTGTGTCCGTGTTGTAGCATGTGTCCGTGTTGTGGCATGCATCCATGTTATCATATGTATCTGTGTTTTCACATGTGTCCCTGTTGTAGCGTGTGTCCATGTTGTAGCGTGTGCCCATGTTGTAGCGTGTATCCATGTTGTAGTGTGTGTCCATGTTGTAGAGTGTGTCCGTGTTGTAGCATGTGTCCGTGTTGTGGCATGCATCCATGTTATCATATGTATCTGTGTTTTCACATGTGTCCCTGTTGTAGCGTGTGTCCCTGTTGTAGCGTGTGCCCATGTTGTAGCGTGTGTCCATGTTGTAGCGTGTGTCCATGTTGTAGCGTGTGTCCCTGTTGTAGCGTGTGTCCATGTTGTAGCGTGTGCCCATGTTGTAGCGTGTGCCCATGTTGTAGCGTGTGTCCCTGTTGTAGCGTGTGTCCATGTTGTAGCGTGTGTCCATGTTGTAGAGTGTGTCCATGTTGTAGCGTGTGTCCGTGTTGTGGCATGCATCCATGTTATCATATGTATCTGTGTTTTCGCATGTGTCCATGTTGTAGCGTGTGTCCATGTTGCAGCGTGTGTCCGTGTTGCAGCGTGTGTCCGTGTTGTGGCATGCATCCATGTTATCATATGTATCTGTGTTTTCGCATGTGTCCATGTTGTAGCGTGTATCCATGTTGCAGCGTGTGTCTGTGTTGTGGCATGTATCTGTGTTTCATTCCTTTTCATGCCTGGATAATATTCCATTGTACGCATATACCACATTTTGTTTTTCCATTCACCTGTTCAGGAGCATTTTTGTTGTTTCCACTTTGGGGCTACTGTGAATACTGCTACTGTAGACATTTCTGAACAAGTATTTAAGTACCTGCTTTCAGTTATTTTGAATATATACCCAGAGGATGTGCTCCATCTTTACATCAATGACTCTCAATCCTGACTATACTCTCTAGTAACCTAGAAGGGTTTAGAAAGAATTCCAGACAACCCACTCTAGACAAGTCCTACCCTAGACAAGTGAATTTGAATGTATTGGGGGGGCTACGGAGCTGTACTTTTGGGTGTGATATTCTATACATGTATATTAAAAACTTAAACGTCTATAAGTAATTTAAAAATTTTAGTTATTTGTAAAGTTAAGAATAATGCTGACTATTTTTTCTGCCACTCAACAGGTGTAGTCGTATGACTTTCATGGTTTACTCTTTCTAGTCCTTGCTTTTTAAAAAAAGTTTTATGGAAGTTTAATTTACACACCATAAGATTTACTCATTTTAAGTGTACAATTTACTATATACCTAGCATAGGTGCTCTGTAAGTGTTTGTTGAAGGAACTGAGGGAGAAATAACTGTTGGTTATGACAGTGATATTAGGTTTTCAGCATTTTCTTGACTTACATTGGTAAATTTTGCCAGATCTTGGGTCTTGCTAGATCTCTTAACTTGCTCGTTTTAACTTTTTAAGGAATCTTCAAATATTTTCCTGCTTCATTTTACATTCCTACCAGCAATGTACGAGGGTCCTAATTTTTCCACATCTTCCCCAAGGCTTGTAACTTTCCTTTGTTTGTTCCATTATAGCCATCCTAGGGTGTGAGAAGTGGTTTTGGTTTGCATTTTCCTAATGACTAATTGTGTTGAGCACCTTTTCTGATGCTTTTTGGCCATTCATATGTCTTCTTTGGAAGGACGTCTGTTCAAGTCCTTTGCTCGTATTTTAATTGGGTTGTTTATCCTTTTGTGGTTGAGTTGTAAGGATTCTTTGTATATTCTGGACACTAGACTCCTATCAAATATATGATTTGCAAATATTTTCTCCTATTCTGTAGGTTGTCTTTTTAGAATGTATTTTTTTAAGAGCATAACCTGATACTCTATCTCTTTCTTTCGTGTTCTTAACGGCCAAACACTTCTCGGTGATGAACCAGATGGCAGGAGAACATGAAAACAGTTACAAAGGTCTCCCCATTCCTAGAGTTAAGATTTCCTTTTAATGTTAGGTTAGCGCAAGGTCTTGTAAGTCCTTCAGTTTTGATAGAGATGAGGAATTGAGGTTACCCAGGAACCCCAGGTGGCAGCTTGGAAATGGGGTCAAGCAGCCCAGGAAAAAAAAAAAAGAGTTTAGAAAACAAAGTGGCGGGAACTACAGCGGAATATTGCTAGAAAACAGGACATCACAGTCTAGACCCCAAACTTTATTGTCCGTTGCAATCACAAGGGGATCTTCTTAATAAAAAATACTGACACTTAGTTTCCATCGGCAGCTATTTGATTTCATTGGCATGGGTGAGGCTTAAGCAATAGATTTATAAAAGCTCCCGTGGATTCTAACGGGCGGCAAAGTTTGGGAACCACTGAGGTTGGCAATGGAGCCGTCAAACCACAGGGATGAAGGCTGACGCTAAGCCAGACTTGGAGCCTCTTCTCTCAACGTGGAGTTGGGGTTGGAGCAGGAGGACTGTGGGAAGGGCAAGTCCCACAAGTCCAAGAAGCCAGAGAGGGACTCAAGTACCTTTAAGAAGCTCTTTTTTGACACCAAATGTCCTGAACAATCATGCTTTTCTCCAAAAGAAGATGAGATACCTAATTTAACGAGCTTAAGACTGTATTACGAAGACTGCACCGGCCCACTGAGCTTGGCTATTGGGATTTCTCCATCTCTGGTCTCCATGTGGAAGAGCAGAAGCAGGAGATGGGAAGAGGTTGTTTCCACCAACCACATAATTCTACACTGGCCTGTATCTGAGAGTGAAAACTTGTCGGTGGAAAAGAGGAACAAAATACATTTTAACAAGGATCTAAAGTCAGAGTAATCTGAAGGGCCCCATGAAATTGAGAAACAACTTTGTTTAATTTTTTTTTTTTTTTTAAACCAAATCTGACTCTGTCACCCAGGCTGGAGTGCAATGGCAAAATCTCAGCTCGCTGCAGCCTCCGCCTCCCGGGTTCAAGCAATTCTCCTGCCTCAGCCTCCCAAGTACCTGGGATTACAGGCATGGGCCACCACGCCTAGCTAATTTTTGTATTTTTTTTTTTTTTTTTAGTAGAAATGGGGTTTCACCATGTTGGCCAGGCTGGTCTTGAACTCCTGACCTCAAGTGATCCACCGACCTTGCCCTTCCAAAATACTGGGATTACAGGCATGAACCACTGCACCTGGCCCAATCTTGTTTAATTTAAAATCTGCTTCTGTAGGTCAAGATTTTGATATAGTTAATATTCCTAAGGTCTGCTGGAAAATCCAAGGGAATAGATCTCAACCTTTACTGAGCATCTGAATTAGCTGCAGTGCTTTTAAAAATATAGCTGTTTGAAGTCTACAGGGATGAAGAGTGGATCAGCGGTTGCCTGGGGCTGGGGTAGCAACAGGATGTGACTGCAAATGGGTACAGGGATCCTTCTGAGGTGGTAGCAGCGTTCTAAAATTGGACCCTGATGATGGTTGTACAACTCTGCCAATGTACTAAAAATCATTAAATTATACACTTCAAATAAGTAAATGCTACAGTGTGTAAATTAAACTTCCCTAAAACTTTTTTAAAAAGCAAGGAATAGAAGGGATAAACTATGAAAATCATACAACCACACCTGTCAAGTGGCAGAAAAAAATAATCAGCATTATTCTTAACTTTACAAATAACTAAAAATTTTTTAATCACTCATAGATTTTTAAGTTTTTAATATACATGTATAGAATATCACACCCAAAAGTACAGCTCCGTAGCCCCACCCTAATACATTCAAATTCACTTGTCTAGGCTAGGGTAGGACTTGTCTAGAGTACGTTGTCTGGAATTCTTTCTAAACCCTTCTAGGTTACTAGAGAGTATAGTCAGGATTGAGAGTCATTGATGTAAAATCACAAGGATAATAAAGTAAGTAAGGTATTCTTTTTCTCACTTGATGTTTCTCATTTTATTTTACCCCTAGTCATTGGGGATCTTGTCATAAATGAAAATTTTCTGCCAAAAAAAGTATTGGAATCATGGCAGGGGTAGTAATTTAGGCCATAAGTGAGACAGTTGGAAGTTTATGAGTTTAGCAAAGACAGTAGAGTAACCAGCCTTAAAACAATCACACAGTGGGAATATCTGTCTCGGAATACCAATGAGAATATACCTTCAGAAATCACACATCCCAGGCATGTTTCAGGAAAGCGTTCATTTCAAATACTCTGTTCCACTGAGCTCTTAAAGCATGAGAATATTGTAGAGGATAAGAACTGCGGAAGTGGAGAACGGAGAGACAGTAGAGACAGGGAGTCTTGTATTTCACCGTATACCAATTTGTAATGCTTGAGATTTTCAACCACGTACCTGTGTTAACTATTTTAATAAACAGAAATTATAATGTTTCATCTTCCAAAATACGTCTCACAGGATTGCCTTTTACACTGGGAAAGATCCCATTAATTTACAATTCAACAGATGTGGGTTCAATCCTGATATATCATAAAGTAAACTGAGGCAAAGGTGGATTGTATTGCTCTTAGCCTTTCTTTTTATTTTTATATTTAGGAAGAGAGTTGGAATTTGAACTCCACCCACAGTAATGTACAGTCTATTTAATGAGGAGGTAGATAGTGCAGTGGTTAAGGGTATAACTTGGAATAAAATAGACCTATGTTTAAATTCTATTTCTATCCATAATTAAATATGAGACCTTGTCCATATTACTGAACCTCTGTTTTAGTAAGTAAGGTTTCTCAGCTTCTTCATAATTAAAATGGGGATTGAAAAAAAAAAGCTAAGAGGGTTGTTATAAAAATTGCATGAGATAATACACTCTGCAAGTGCTTAGTCTAGTATCTAGCACACAGTAGTAATCCTCATCTAGAATTGCATCTTTAAAGATGAAAATGGGTCCGTGGTGGCCGGGCGCGGTGGCTCACGCCTGTAATCCCAGCACTTTGGGAGGCCGAGGCGGGCGGATCACGAGGTCAGGAGATCGAGACCATCCTGGCTAACACAGTGAAACCTCGTCTCTACTAAAAACACAAAAAATTAGCCAGGCGTGGTGGTGGGCGCCTGTAATCCCAGCTGCTCGGGAGGCTGAGGCAGGAGAATGGCTTGAATCCGGAAGGCGGAGCTTGCAGTGAGCCGAGATCGCGCCACTGCACTCCAGCCTGGGCGACAGAGCAAGACTCCGTCTCAAAAAAAAAAAAAAAAAAAAAGGAAAGAAAAGAGAAAGAAAACGGGTCCATGGTGAGAGATTTACTTAGACAAATTCCAGAAGTTAGATTTCTTAACACAGCCAGATCTATCAGCGGAATGTATTGGCTTGGACCTCATTCACACAATCATAGTTTTGGTGCAAGCCCAATTCCAGTTTGATCTTTAGCCTGGATTTCTTCTGGAAAAACACAGCCCTGTCCAGACAAAATCACAACATCCTGTGCTTCAAGCTGCTAAGGCTGCCATTTTGCAGGAACAATAACCGCTGAGCTCTGAAAGACGGGAGTGGGGAGCAGCAAAAAGGGAATCCGTCCACTGCACCTGGCTCTGGGACATGCTTGTAAAAGCTTCATGTTCTGGACGGCAAAGTATCTGCTTTGGTACAAGGAGCTAAGAAAACAATTTCCTTAAAAACAAACAGATCCCAAGAGATCAACCGTTTGGAAAAATTCCTCTGAGACACTAACAGGCCCCGAATATAAACAGTAAGCAACTTTTTTTAGCTAACAGTCATAATTCATACTCCCTCCAAACAAAACACATACACACCCCACAACACGTACACATCTCTGAAGAGTCATTATGATTCTGAAAATTAGGCAAAACACATTTCATTACTGCAACAGGACTCCCCTCTGAACCTTCTGCTGACACAGCTACTGAATGTGTTCTCATCCCAGACACACTTCACAGATACTCTACCCTCCTTACGAGATCCTGACAACTCTGCCCCCTGAGAAAATACTTCTTTCCCACAGTTGCACATGAGAAAATTTTCTTCCGAGGTACTGTTAGAGAGAAATGAAATTTTAAAACATTCTTAGTTATTTGTGTTTGCTTTTCTTTTTATTTATTTATCTATTTTTTTCATAGAGACAAGTTCTTACTATGTTGTCCAGGCTGGTCTCAAACTCCTGATCTTCCCACCTTGGCCTCCCAAAGTGCTGGGATTACAGGTGTGAGCCACCATCCCTGGCCTGCTTTTCTTCTGTAGTTCGAAGACACTCAATTAGCTACCTACTGTTTAACAGGCATTATGTTAAGTGCTAAGGAGACACAGGTTAATCAGAAACAGACCTGCTTTCGAAGGCACCAATGATCTTATTACAGAGGTAAGTTTTGCAACAGAAAAAAGTCAATATAATGTGAAAACTAGTAATAATTTTTAAGCTCTCATTCTGCGGCCAACCCTTTACATACATGAGCACTTCACAATGACCCATGAGCTAGTTATTACCCCTGTTTCCCAGATGTGCAAGCCAAGTCTTACAGCCTTGCATTTTTTACAAGGTTACAATTAACAACTGAACTAAAATCCATTAACCATACAGCTACCACCTGCATGACCTAAGAATGGTGTATTGGATCTCATGCCATTTCTAAATGCCAGGTACCTTGACAATATTTTTGCTTTTTCTAGATACCAGCTAGATCTGGATTAAGAATGTCAAGCTCATTGTTTGGAGTCAACACATAACAAAGGACTTGAGTCCAACACATAACAAAGGACCTGGGTCTCTCGCAGAGCCAGGAAACGCTCAGTCTGTGAGAGTGAATGGCCTCTCACATAGTCATTAACTCAACTGCATGCTGGGGGAGAAAGTGTATTTTCCGCACTGTTTGCCCCTCCATAGACCACCAGCTCTAGGCCTTGGTTATTTTTGCATTATGTTAAATACCAACATTCTCTGATTCCGCTTGTCCAGGCAACGCTCTCTCTCTTCTCCTGCCGATCTTATCCCTAAATACCCTGGTCCAAGAAGACTTCCTGGGTCATTCTATGATTGTGCAGCCGCAGGCACTGAATACAGATTCTGCACATACTCTGCTCATCATTTACCATTTCTCCACTCTCAATGTCACAATTCTCTGAAATCTTAAAATTCCAGTCCTGGTGCAATTTTTGAACATTCCTGTCTCATCCAATTCAACACTGACCAGCCTTACTGGTATATTAAGTATACAGCCCAACACAAGTCAATATTTAATATATACTATTAGCTGAAATTCATATAGTAACTAAAGTCACTCTTTTAGACTTTGTGAAAACCAGAAAGCCCCCTCCCAAAAAAAGAAAAAAAATACGGTGATTAAAACTAGATTATACTGTAGTTTTTCATTTCAATAAATGAAGAGCTATTTTAAAAATCAGAATTTGAGAAAATTTAAAAATCAGAATAATTCTGCTAATGAATCAAGATGCCTGTATCTTACATCTATACTAAGCATTTTTCATTATTTAAATTTAGAAAGAATATAACATATTGCTGAATGTTAAAAAACAGATTTTTAGAAAATGGCCCCACAATCTCATACCCCTGATACAAAATGATTATTTTCTATAACTTTCTAGTATTTTATCAGCTTCATATTTAACATTATAGTACATATACAATTTGCCTTTTCTTCTCTGCCACATGCTGAATTGTTTTATAATCGTAATTTACTAATCTCTTCCATATAATTGAATCTTTAGGCTGATGGAATGTCTTTGCTACCACAAATATTATCAAACGAGCTTGTGCATATGACATTCCCAATATGTTAGATGTTCTACCTAGGATAGATTTCCAGAAGTGGTATTATTGCATCAATAACTCATACATTTTTAATCTCCTGTTACAGCATGGGCTGTATTTTATTTTTAATAAAAAAAAAATGGGCCGGGTGCGCTGGCTCACACCTGTAATCCCAGCACTTTGGGAGGCCGAGGCGGGTGGATCACGAGGTCAGGAGTTTGAGACCAGCCTGACCAACATGGTGAAACCCCGTCTCGACTAAAAATACAAAATTAGCCGGGTGTGGTGGCACATGCCTGTAATCCCAGCTACTCAGGAGGCTGAGGCAGCAGAATCGCTTGAACACGGGAGGCGGAGGTTGCAGTGAGCGGAGATCTCGCCACTGCACTCTAGCCTGGCGACAGAGGACTTCGTCTCAAAAAAAAAGAAAAAAAGTACCAGTTGCTGTCTTAGCTTCATTGCTATCATTCCAGTTCCTACAAAAATGCAAAGGCTTTGCTGAAGGGAAGGGTGCCATCTCTTGCAGATTTCTCCGAAGCCAAGGACCAGCTGGGTGTTTTCACCACAGATCTGCACGAACCCAGCACGCAGGACTCACCTTCCCCGCGCCCACTGCCCCTCTGCCTGCTGTTGTGAAGCGGCAGCACCTCCAGGGATGCGATGCCCGCGCTCTCCAGGATATTCACGTCCACGCTCAGCCTCCCGGACAGCTGCTGGGGCCGCACGCTGATGCTGTGCTCGTACTTGCCCAGGCGCCTCTGCAGAAGCTCCTCATAACTCAGGAAAAAGGCGGCTTTGTCCTTGCTGGGAATCACTGCAGAAGCTCTGAATATTTCAGTCCCCTTCTCTCTGTCAGGAAAAAGGAAAAGGACCCCAGGGAGGTTCGGAAGAGGATAGAGCCAGGTTCCCTCAGTCCCCACAGGGCACCAGCCATACCCTCTCAACCAGCCTGCCAGGGAGACCCATGGGTGTGAGTGTGGGTCCTGAGAAAGGAAAAATAAAAATTCGTATTAGAAGAAGTGAAACCCCGTGCTAGAGGTAGGTCACGAAGGGTCAAAGAATACCGACCAGGAGAGGATTCTAAGAATACTGTCCTACCTCTCCCTGAGACAGACCCAAGGGAGCAATGGGAAAGGACGTTGAGTAGGTGAACTGCTAGAAGAGAGAGCTTTGGAGTGAAGCTGTGAATTGTGCTCTCCCTTTACAAGGATGGCCAATGAATCTTGGCATTTTACATAACTTTAAAATAGCTAACATACTAGGTTTTCACATCTTGGTAAAGTTTGGTGGATATGTTTAGCAGGAAAGGTAGGGAATAAAGGACTCCAAAGCTGACAAAAATACACTCCAGATGCTTTCAGTACTTGGAGTGAGGGTTCTCTTATTCAAAATGGCAGACTGATCACTAGAGGAATAAGTGGGAGTGGCAACCGTTAGTAGGTAAGACATTTCAAGAAGTTTCCAGAAGGCTTGGGGTGTTCAGTAGAGCAAGAATTTTATAGCTCAGAACATGCAGCAAAGGGCTGCAGCAAAGGAGAGAACCCAACTGTGTGGCAGAATCAGAGAGAGTGCAGGCTCTGAATTCAGGACACCACAAGATGGAAGGGAAAAGGGAGACCCAGTATAGACAGGATAATTCCAAGTCCAATGTGAATGAATGACTAAGCTGATAGGCTTTCTATACTCCTCCTTCCCAGAACTGGAAAGAGACATAAGTATTGAAATGGAAAAATTCAAGCACTGAGCAGAATGAATGAAAAGAGACTGACACCGAAACCCGCCATTGTAAAACTTCAGAACATCACACAGAGAAAACGTAAAAGTGATGTTATCTGGTCCCATTAGATGTATCATCAATACTACTGGATGTTATAAGACATTGGAGCAATGCCTCAAAGTTCAAAAGGAAAAGTATTTTGACCTTAAAGTCATACACAGCCAAAATATTAATCAAGGTCTCAGAAAGTTTACTTCTCATGCACCCATTCTGAGAAAGTTACTTCAGAATATAACTTCTGCAAAATAAAGGTGAAAGCCAAGAAAGAGGAAAATGTGGAATACACGAAATAAAAAAGCCAACCCAGAAGAATACGAAAAGAGATACCAGGGTAAAAGTTTTGCATCAAGGCTGAAAAGCAATGAAAGTATTTCATGGATATAAAGACATCCATGTTTTAAAAGCTCTGAAATCAGAATGTCTCCCAATCAGTGATGTCTTTCAGCTGCTGTTGGCCAGATATCAGGAGTGATAAGGATGTCACTGCTTGCAGAAACTTGTTCATAGCTGTTCATTTTGTTATGTTAAATCATAACATATTTTAAATAATGGTTATGTGTCTCGCTAGATGTTATATCATTTTATATCATAAGAAAAAAGAAAAGCAGTTAGAAACTCCAGGAAAAACAGAAACATATGTCATGATTCAACTAAACTAATCTGTAGTGTGACTCTGAACAATTGTGATAAAGACCACTTGGGATAAATCTATAGTCTAACAGAGTTAGGTTTTAATAACTTGCCACAGCAAGGGAGACCACATACCAGAGGCACGATGAGGCAACTCATCAAACAAAGAAAGAGACAGGGTTTTTATAGAATTAGGGGAAGGATGGAGTATAGGTTAAATTTAAATAGAGCAGTGTTCAGACAGGCTCAAAGCAAAGGCTGTGTGTAAAACCATCATTTCCGCCTGGACTGACAAGCAGACTAAAGATTCTCTATGTCTTTAGAAACTACGACATTAAGATAAACGTGGAATTTTGTGCCTTTGAAAATCCCTTATCTGAAGCTCTGGACCTTGGTTGCTTTTCTGTATCAAAGTGAACCCATGGCTCATGTCCTCCAGACAAGAGTGAGGCATTCCCTTGTCACTAATAAAATTTCCAACAGCAAAGTTTCTGGCAGTCTATAATTTTAGAGAACTAAATTTCTCAAAATGATGTCTTTTTATTCATGAGGAAAACCGGGTTACCAGGTTCACACCATTTTATCTAGATACAAAGATCATTTTTCTGCCAAGGGGATGAAGGCCTACACATTGGGCTGGTGAAGAGGAAAAAATAATCTTAGTGTACTAGGTGGCTCTGCATGCAGTTCATGTTATTTCTATAGGCATTAAAAAGCAATTGCTATGTATTGGTTTCAATGTTTAGATTCCATTTATAAACAAAAGAAAGAATAAAAGTATTACAAGTCAGAATTAAGATGCTAATAACTCAAACAATGATTAGGTAACATCATGAAATGAGAAAGGAGAGAGACAGTGGAGGTTAGGAGAGGGAATATAATCATTTAAGATAGTAGGGATAGTCCAAGATAGTCTAAACACTGTTGGATTGATGGAAGAAGAAATAAAAGAATAATATAAAAATGTGAATGCAGAGTAAAAGTAGGAGTATTGTTAATTTGCTAAATACCCTTTCTTTATAGCAAAGAGTCAACAGATAATGTCTTATTTTTATCAAAAAAAATTTTTTGAAGTATGACTATCACAATATTTAGAGTTAGGGGGTAACTACAAAAAAAAAAAAAAAAAAAAAAACTACGTACAGGCCAGGCATAGTGGCTCACACCTGTAATCCTGTAATCCCAGTACTTTGAGAGGCTGAAGTGCGAGGACTGCTTGAGCCCCGAAGTTTGAGATTAGCCTGGGCAATGTAGCAAGACCCGATCTCTACAAAAAAAATAAAAATAAAAATTAGCTGGGTGTGGTGGTGCACACCTGTAATCCCAGCTACTTGGGAGGCTGAGGTGGAAGGATCACTTGAGCCCAGGAGGTTGAGGCTGCAGTGAGCTATGATTGCACCACTGCACTCCAGCCTGGGCAAAGAGTGAGACCTCATTCCAAAAAAAAAAAAAAAAGGAAAACTGCAAACTACATATAGAAATATTAGAAGAGGATATGTGTGGGAAGTGAGCATGAGAGATAAATATGGTAAAATTCTCCTTTTTATTACAAACACTTATCTACTATATTATTCACTAGATGTATTTATATTTTGATAAAAAAGAAAGAGAAAAGTATTTGGAGGAAAGGAAGACGACAAGAGGAGTAGGCAAAGGCATAGAAAATGTGGCACTTTGCTAAAATGGGTTTTTAATTCCTTAATTAACCAATACTTACCCATTTTCTTCTGTGGTTTTATTCCTTTTCTCTTTTACCCTATCACCACTCTTCTTTTCTCTCTCTGTAATTTCGCCCTGATACACCTTGTCTCCAATAAGCCTGAAATACAAGAGACAGTTGTGCTACCAGCTTGCAGTTCCAAGACAAATTCAGACATGGATCTTATAACCATGACAACCCCAGGAAATATTTTTATTTGCCTTTTGGATGTGTAGAAAGAATGCATTCCAGACTAGGGCACTACCTTTGAATCATTCATTTTATTCTAGGGCAATTTTCAACAGGTCCAAATAGCAAGACCCAACCCATGGTGCCTCTGTGATTCTCCAGGAGAAAAGTCACAAGATCTGCTCACACTACCATGAAGATTCACCAACTTACATCTGACCTGGGCCAAAAATTAAACCCAACACCTAGCCCGTTTTACATATCTTTACTTCTTGGCTCAGAGAAGGAGGAAAGATATCCAATCTAGTATATCAAAGGTTCTACACTGCCTTGTCTTTCAACCCTCAACTTCACCATGGAGGAGGAAGAGCCTCCTGAAAGCTCTTCCCAGATCTCCCTAACTGAAGAAGACCCTCTTGGTCTGACTTGCCATCTTTATCATATTTGCAACTGTCTGAAATTCATCTCATTTATTCTTTGTTCATTTATCTATTGACTGGTTCTCCCTACTGGAATTTGTGCAGCACTGTGAGGCTGTCTTTCTCAGAGAAGTGCACCAGTTTTCATGAAGAGTAACCTGGCCCATAAAGGTCATTCATTTGTTGAAGGGGAGGAAGGAAAGAAAGAAAGAGGAAAGAAAGAAAGGAAGAAAAAAATTGAATAAAAAAGAGAAAATAGAAGGAAGGGAGAGAGACGAGGAGGGAAGGAAAGAAAAGGAAGGAAGGAAGGGAGGGAGGGAGGGAGGGAGGCAGGGAAGGAGGGAGGGAGGGAGGGAGGGAGGGAGAGAGGGAGGGAAGGAGGGAGGGAAAAAGAGAAGAAGAAAAGGAATGAATGAATGAATGAACCAACCAATGAATTTGAACAAAAGAATTGACCTTCTGATCTATATACCATCTACTGGAATATAAATCCTCACAGTCACAAGGCTGTGGACCTCACATCTCAGGCTCAACCTGACCACCCTAGGCAGAAATCTTCATCCCTGACCAGCGTGTCACCTACATAGTGAAGTTGGTGATGAAAGCTGCAGCTGGAATCTGCATCTGGAACTCAATGTCCTGGTCTTCAGAAGCTCTGTTCAGCATTCTGCAGGAAACCGTAGTGAAGGCATAACGGGAAATGATGGTAGACTTCACTGAGAATTCTGTCATCAAAGGTTTGGTTTTCTGTAGGAATGAAAACACACAGTATCATCGGTGATGCATGAAAGCATTTTGGTGGTAGTGGAACATCTTTTTTTTTTTCCACAAGGGAAATAATCTTCAGTTTGGGAGCCTTTGGCATGTGATTCCAATTTCCTTTCTTCTTCTTTTCCTGATTTCCCCATTTTTAACTCCCTTCCTTTGTAAAACAACCTTGGTTGTTTTGCATAAACAATTAATAACACACAAGCAAATCTTTTAACCTGACTTTAACAAGTGAACACAGTGAAGACGTCCAATTTGGCAGAAAATACACGTTCCTTAAACAGTTCAATCATCGGAATTTTAGAAGTAAAGTATGTGCTGTATATAATACTCTTCTGTTATCACTTTTATATCACATTTACAGGACTACCGAAATGTTCCAAAAACCGGAACATGACTAACAAAAATCTCGTATTTTAAAATTACTTTCAATGTCCACTTAGAGAAACGATACACCAGAGCTTCCCTATCTGAATTACAGGCGCATTACTGTGAAATAGGAATCAATACTGAACTCAGCAGAGTATCTAGAGAATTTAGAACCCAGAAAAAGGAACACATAAGTCTGTGCTAATTAAATTTCTCCCAAAAGCCCCTGATGAGAGCAGTAACTAGAAGATGCAAATGTAAAAGCCTGTTAAAACTCTTCAGGGCTTTTTCTAGTCCTTACAACAGAGCTACATCTGGTGACAGCTGGTAGCAGAGGCCTGAAGAAGGAAGAAAACATTTGTAAGGAAAGCCACAAGCCACTGCTAACAGAGTGGTTATCTAACTCCAGGAACTGGTCAAGCAATTAACAAGCATGTTATGGGCTGTGTCCTCCTAGAATACACATGTTGAAGCCCTAACCTACTATGGGAGGTGGTGGGGTTGCGGGGAAGGCAGTATTTGGAGATGAGTGCCTTTGGGAGAAATTGATTTAGATGAGGTAATGAAGGTGGGGTCTCTATGATGGGATTAATGCCCTTAAGAGAGGAGACATAAGAGAGCTCTCTATCTCTCTCTCCATGTGTGTGCACCAAGAAAGACCATGTGGGCACACATTGAGAAGGCAGCTGTCTGCAAGCCAGGACAAGAGCCCTCATCAAAACCCAAACCCTGCAGAACCTGGGTCTTGGACTTCCAGCCTCTAGAACTGTGAGAAAATAAATGTATGCTGTTTAAGCCACATGGTCTATAGAATTTTGTTATGGAAGCCCGAGCAAGCTAAAACAAGACATTACCCCATGACAGTCTTTGAAGACATACGCAGTAGGTGTTTTATTCCCATTTCATAGATGGAGGGAAGTCAAGCTTAGTGAGGGCACATATTGGTCCATGCCAGCAAGTAATGGATGTGGAACTTGAACCCGATCCCACTTACTTCAAAGTCTGAACTGGCCACTATTATGTGAGACTGTCTGGCTGCCCTCTGCAGACACGTCCTGCTCATAATTGTGTGCTCAACCCCCATGCTGGTCCTGGGCACACAAAGGCTCTCAAAACATGTTGAATGCAACTGGCTTACTCTGATAAGATTCTACTCTCTCCTTCAGGAACTGTCACCTAGCTGGGCAATGTTTATTTCAGCCCTCATCTGCTTTATTAATTTATTTACAGCCCTAGGCCTGTTTTCAAAACAGATATAAGGTTGCGACCTATTGCTATCAAAGACATATTCCTGCTGTGACATACAAAGATCATCACAAACCTTGCTTCAAAAAAGTTACTACAGAGGGTTATTCTATTTAAACAAATACGCACTCAAAATGTTTGCGTGAAATCACGATCTGCATACAAACCACCAAAAGCTTGAGAGACATTTTCTATGATGTATTAGAGAGGTGGCTACAAATATCAAGTGCACCGGCTGGGCGCGGTGGCTCACACCTGTAGTCCCAGCACTTTGGGAGGCCAAGGTGGACAGATCACCTGAGTTCAGGAGTTCAAGACCAGTCTGGCCAACATGGTGAAACCCCGTCTTTACTAGAAATACAATTAACTGCGTGTGGTGGTGCATGACTGTAGTCCTGGCTACTCAGGTGGCTGAGGCAGGAGAATTGCTTGAAGCAGGGAGGCAAATATTGCAGTGAGCCAAGATTGTGCCACTGCACTTCAGCCTGGGTGACAGAGCAAGACCCTGTCACAGAAAAAAAATATATATATATATGTACATATATGTGCGTGTGTATATATATCATATATATCATACATATCACATATATATCATACATATCACATATATATCACATATATCACATATATATCATATATATCACATATATATCACATATATCACATATATCACATATATCACATATATCATATATATCACATATATCATATATATCACATATAGATCATATATATCACATATAGATCATATATAATCACATATATATCATAATCACATATATATGATATATATCACATATATATGATATATCACATATATATGATATATCACATATATATGATATATATCACATATATCACATATATATCATACATATCACATATATCACATATATATCACATATATCACATATATATCATATATATCACATATATATCATATATATCACATATATATCATATATATCACATATCTATATCACATATATATCATATATATCACATATCTATATCACATATATATCACATATATCACATATATATCATATATATCACATATATATCATATATATCATATATATCACATATATATCATATATATCACATATATATCACATATATATCACATATGTATCACATATATATCACATATATATATCACATATATATATCACATATATATATCACATATATATATCACATATATATATCACATATATATATATCACACATATATATATATATATCAAGCACACCTGAGGATGGACTTGAACACCAAGACAGGGAGCTGCAATGGTTGGAGCCAAGCACATGAGGAAGGGGAGAGAATGGGCAAGCACTCCATGCAAAGGTGTCAGGGCCATTCATCTTTGTAGCAGACTGTGCAAGAACTTCCAGTCTTGGTAATTCAAAAAAGCCAGAGACAAATGGAACAGCTTAACGAAAACGTTAGGGGGATGTGCATCTTTCTTAGAGAGACAGAAGGGATAAACATTTACAGTTCATTTAAGTAATGATCAAGTTTAAAAAAAAAATCTGAGTATTGTTGAAAGAGTTTTGCCTAAAAGAGGAAAAGAAACCTTCCAGTTTAGTTTGAGAAGGAATTATTTCAAAGTAGCGCTTCTCAAAGTGTGGTCCTCGGACCAGCAGCATCACCATCACCTGGAAACTTGCTAGAGATTCTCAGACTCCATCCAAATCCACAGAATCAGAAACTCAGAGGGTGGCCCAGCAAGCCGCAGTTTAACAAACCCTTCAGGTCATTCTAATGCCTGATCAAGCTTGAGAATGTCTCTTTTTACTAATTGAACTTTAAAATATATATTTCTTCATCTGCAAGTGAAAAGGGCTTGAATAAATCACCAAAATTACATCCACATCTGTGATCCACAGATTTACGGCAAAGCTAAAACTGAGGAATAAAACCTTTGGGTTTAGGAAATTATGTCTGAATTGAGAAGCTGTATTATACAGTACCATTTAATGGAAACCTAGTCTCTTCAGGACAAAATCTGTCTCTCTCCTCCAAAGCGATTAGGATTAAAAAAGAGACTCCAACATGTAGCTTCACCAAATGTTTCTGTTAAATGATCTCATTAAAAACATTTCATACATTTCAGTAAAGGCAATGAGGATTAGGCTGGGGATGATAATGATAATGATCTTAACAGCATGACAACCTGTGGGGTTTTTTTTAAAGTTAAAATTTGTATCTCATTATCTTTCAAAAAAAGAACCCCAAGGTGAATAAGACCATGAATTGAGAGGAAGTGTTTACTTTGATCTGTGTTATTTCTGGAACAGGTTTTCTTTCTAAATTATCCATGATTAAATATATTCTTTTATCTCCAAATCTAAACTGGTGTATAAGAAATGCCCCACGGCTGTGATCTTGTGAATTTGCGAAGCATCTAGAATACCACTGCACCCAGCTCTGATTTCTACAGATGCATGGGAAAGTAAATAGGAATCAATGCTTTAAAAAAAATCCCACAAACTCAGTATATTCTAGCTTTATCATTCTCTGCTTTATTTAAAATTTAAACTGGTGTTTTAAAAATTATCAAGTAACATATGCACATGGTAAAAACTTCTAATTATGCTGAATATAAAATGAAAATAGCAGTCTCCCTCCCACCCTGGATTCACAGTTCCATTTCCCAGAGACAATGTTTGACAACTTTTGTATATCCTTCCATAAATATATACTGTACTAATTTGCTTAATCTCACCTAGTGATATAGTTAGTTCATCTTTCTTTATCTGTGTCTTAGCTATCTCATGCTGCTTAACAAATCACTCTAAAACTCAGTGGTTTAAAACAGCAGCAATCTTTATGTTTCCTCTCAGGGTTTCTGTGGGTCATGAATTCCAGAAGGGCTTGGCTGGGAGGTCTGGCTTCTCTACAAAGGGTGGCTGAAGCTGGAATTGTGAGTTGCTGAGGCAGCCAAGGCTGGCATCTCTCTATCTCATGTTGTCCCTCAATCCCCTCTATATAGTCCTTCCAAATGGGCAAGTGTAGATGAACTCACAGCATGGGCCACTACACATGAGTCAGCTGGTCACCTGGTAGCCATAGGCTTTACCGGTCACCTGGTAGCTTTCCCAACAGCAAGGTGGAAGCTAGATGCCCTGTCATGCCCTGACCTCAAAAATCACAATGCATTACTTCTATCATACTCTACTGGTCAAAGCAGGCACAAAGGCACACTCAGTTTCAAAGGCAGAGGGCACAGACCCCCATCTCCATGGGAGGAATGGCACATTCAAGTGCTGCCATCTTTGGAAAATGCAATCTGCCACTGAACAAAAAATATCAACCTCCTTCCTTTTTAAAAATAGCTGCATAGTATTACATTTTATGGATGCATTAAATTTTAGTTAACCAGTTCTCCCATCATCCATCATCCATTTGTAATCATTTTTCATCATTTTTGGAAAGTCCTTTCAGATGTCCCTGCTCTCTCATTCATCTGTAGCAGGAGTAGGCAAGCTATGCCAGGCAGGCCACACTGTTTGTAAATAAAGTTTTATTGAAACACAGCCACATCCATTCATTTACATACTGTCTATGGCTGCTTTTCTGCTACAATGGCAGGAAAAACATGGAGAATAATTCAGCTGAGCCCAGCTGCTCCTGCCAAGGAGCCCGGCTCATGCAGGAAGCTGCACTGCCCCCTCCAGAGCAGCCATCTGCCAACTGAACACCCCAGAGCAACCTCCAGCAACACCACAGGCCAGAAGAATCACCCAGCTGAGCTCTGTCCAAATCCTTCCCCACCAAATGATGGGATAAAATCGTTGTTGCTCTAAGCCACTGAATTTTGTGGAAAATTTTTGTGCAGCAATAGAAAACGTGAACACCTGTCTAGTCTCTGTAGACATTCGAGTTTGCAACCCCACTTCAGTGTGACTGCTGGTGAGTGAAATTTAGTTATTTTATTAGTTATTTCCAACTCTATGTCATTTCTGATCTTTACACACTTTGTTATGTTTTGTAAACTAAACTTTCAGCATATTAAAAATATGCTTGAAATTTTTTTGGAAGAAGTTAAACTATGAAGATAAACTGTAAAGAAAAAGAGCTTCTTAAATATAAACTCTTCACTTTTCCAGTCTAGGCCAAAGTCATTCACTGTGTGACTTTGCCAGATCACACAGGTAAAAGGTAGTCAACCCCAATGGCCATCCAAAGCCTCGATTTCCAATCCTGTCTCTTTCAAAAAAGAACACAGTGGCCGGGCACAGTGGCTCATGCCTGTAATCCCAGCACTTTAGGAGGCTGAAGCAGGTGGATCACGAAGTCAGGAGATCAAGACCATCCTGGCTAACACAGTGAAACCCTGTCTCTACTAAAAAAAAAAAAAAATACAAAAAATTAGCCGGGCATGGTGGCGGGCACCAGCTACTCAGGAGGCTGAGGCAGGAGAATAGCGTGAACCTGGGAAGCAGAGCTTCCAGTGAGCGGAGATCACACCACTGCACTCCAGCCTGGGCGACTGAGCGAGACTCTGTCTCAAAAAAAAAAAAAAGAACACAGAGACACCCTGGCTAATTCAAGCCTTTTCGCAGTGATTATTGTTTGATAACCAATAAAATATAGAACTCCAAAGGTATAGTAAATATAATTCAGTCTTTGGTGCTAATTCAAAAGTTACTTGTGAACCTCAGTTATCATCCATTAAATTGTACACATTGAAGATAGAGGACATTAAACTGAATGTATTCTCTGAACTGTAGTCATATTCTGACACTTCAAAAATTCTTCTTGTCAATTTATCATGTAATTCTTTTACATAAAAGTAGAATACTAGTGAGGGGAGAGTATTAAGTTGACATCTTAGATAAGCAGAAGTTTACAGCTGTAGCTGCACACTGTTCCAAGTAAAATTTAGCTCCTTCTGCTAATAGTTCTTGCTCAGTAGTATTTTTAAAATAGATCAAAATCTTCTTCACTTAGTATGCTTGAGAATATTTTTAATGTCATGGTGATTTGTTCTTATTTATGAGATAAGAAATAATTTCATTTAATTTAAAATGTGAAAACTAGAAGATACCTGACAATATTAAGTTTATCACATTATCTTCTTATACCTTAAATTAAGTGTATAGATTTAGTAGAATTTTCCACAATATTACATCAAGAATATGAAGCTTAGTTTATGGGCCCAAGAGACAGGCTGAAAAAAGGTTCAAGAAACTATTTTAGTTTTTGTGCTTCTGCCCAGCTACAATTCTCCCAGGAGCCCCTGCTCTTACTGACATACCACAGCCTGGCCCTTCTCTTACAGTTTCCTTGGTGCAGAATCTACTAGATTCAATTAGGCACGAGTCTATCCCCCTCCCAGTTACCAACCCTTACCCCTGCCCTGGTAGATTATGGGATTGTAAACACGAAGAACAGAAGCCATGACTACTACTTACTCCTGTTGTCCTTCTCCTTCCCCTTCCCCTTCCCTTCTCCCTTCTTTTCATTCTCCTTCTTCTCCTCTTTCTTCTTTCTTCTTCCTTCTTTCTTCTTCCTCCTTTCTTCTTTCTTCCCCCTTCTTCTTCTTATTCTTTCTTCTTCCTTCTTCTTCTTTCCCTTCCCCTCCTCCTCCTCCTTCTTCTTTGCATTAGAAAGAGTTTCTATTTAGATCATGAGACATAATAGTGCTTAACATGTTGTTCTTTTTTTACCTACAGCTCTCAAGATAGAGGAAAACTATATATATATATGAAATCTAATCTTTTATGTCTAAAGAGATAGGGGATATAGGAATGGGTAAGTGGATAGATGGATAGATAGATAGATGGATAGATAGATAGGTAGGTAGATAGATAGATAGATAGATACCTTGACTATAAGACCTTCCAGTGTTGAGAAGAAAGATAAATCAGTGAGGTCTGCAAAAGTAAGAAAATGTTTTAAAACAGATGTAGTATTTACATGTGGTGAAAGAGAACAGAAAGAACACTCTAAGAACACGGAAGACATGGAAATGGAAATGAATCACAGCACATTCCCAGATCAATGACTAGAAAAGAGAGCATGCTGTGAGAAGAATATTGGACAGGCAGGTAACACAGGAAACAGACAACCCTAAAGAACAAGCGAGGCCTTTGAAAGGCAGAGGCTCATGAAAATGTGTCATGAAAGGAAGGATATAAAACAGTGGCCTCACTTTTTCCCAGTGCACGGTTCTTAAAAATCCAACATGCTTTCCATATTTCTATTTAAGTCATAACTTTGTTTTGGGATGTCCGCTGGAAAATAGTGGTAAAAAAAATCTTCCTGTGACATAAGATAATTTCTTCATTATTTTTTCCTACAAAGGCAACACAGATGGAAAAGTCATTTGAGGCAGGGAGTGTCTTAATTGCTCAAGGGACCCAAGCTTTGGGTATGACTCATGTGAGGCACTTAAAATCAAGCCACCCGAGGATGTCCTGAGTCACCCAAGATGCCATCTGGAAATGTGGTGGAGAAATGGTTGGGACGGCCTTTGCCAGCACTCAGGCCACAGTGCCTCTTCCTAGAAGATTAACCTTTCATTATTTTCTTTCAGTCTAACCAGTCTTTAGCAACCATGAGAAGTCATTATGGAGGTGGGAGAGAACTTTAGAAATCATCTAACTCTGCTCCCCTTTGTTTTAGAGAGAAGGCTGGAGCGTGGCAGTTGGCTGACTCCACGCACCAAATCTCTACTAACCCTTAATGCTTCTCCTTTCTGAGAAAAACAATACAGGGCCGGGCGTGGTGGCTCATGCCTGTAATCCCAGCACTTTGGGGGTCAAAGCTGGTGGATCACCTGAGATCAGGAGTTTGAGACCAGCCTGGCCAACATGGTGAAACCCCGTCTCTATTAAAAATGCAAAAAATTAGCCAGGTGTGATGATGGGTGCCCATAATCCCAGCTACTCAGGAGGCTAAGGCAGGAGAATCACTTGAACCCGGGAAGAGGAGGTTGCAGTGAGCCAAGATAATGCCATTGCACTCCAGCCTGGGTGACAAGAGCAAAACTCCATCTCAAAAAAAAAAAAAAATACAGCCCATGTTGTTATTGAATGAAACAGGAGAAAAAGGCACTTCCCCAACTGCTAGATTTACCACCTCGGGGAAATCATTTTACCCCTCTGTAGACAGGAAATGGCATCGGTTCTGAATCACCTACTTGTGCTAATACAGTCTACGTAGTGATGTTTCATTATATTTAGGGGAGAAGGAAAACAAAATGCCATTTTTATTTTTATACAAGAAAACCCTCCCCCTCCCCCGCCCCATTCTATACACTTCCTGAACAGGATGCACACAATGGTCAGAGTTGGGCACAGGCACAGACACACATATGACTGGTCCTCAATGAGGTATGATGCCCAGAGTCATGCTACCTGCTGTATTGACTGTATTTTCTTGTTTTCTATATTCTTGATGCTCTGGCATTTGGGGCTTTGATCCTGGAAAGACCGTCCCTCCCAGGGCTGGCTTGTTCCTAGGAACAGCAGACAACCCTGCTGCAAGCATACCTTTGATATATAAACCGACCAATCCATAGCCACACATCCAACCATCTCCCATATCAAACTCATGCACCTCGGCTGGGCACGGTGGCTCACGCCTGTAATCCCAGCACTTTGGGAGGGCAGGGCAGGCGGATCACCTGAGGTCAGGAGTTTAAGACCAGCCTGGCCAACATGGCGAAACCCATCTTTACTAAAAATACGAAAATTAGCCGAGCGCGATGATGCATGCCTGTAATCCCAGGTACTCGGGAGGCCTCTAATCCCAGGTGCTCGGGAGACTGAGGCGCAAGACTCACTTGAACCCAGGAAGTGGAGGTTGCAGTGAGCCGAGATCGCACCACTGGGCTCCAGCCTGGGCCACAGAGTGAGACTCTGTCTCAAAATAATAATAATAATAATAACAATAATAATAAATAAAACTCATGCGCCAAGCCAATACTCCCCCTACCCTAAATCTCCCCAGGACCAGGTACCTGACAACTAGAGACCAACCCTACAGCCAATCCTAAACCTCCTCAGCCTACCTACTACCCTGCCTTGCCCATTCCTTCCCATGAAAACCCCAATGCAGGCTCTGAGACACACACTGTCCTCTGCACCTTCTGCCCCTGACCCACCATGGTGCTTCCCCATGTGTCCTGGCATGGTATGCTGCTGCCCCTGCCTCCAGGGATCTGTGAGTATGAAATTCCTCCTTCATGTCAGTCATTTCTCTGTCTGTGTATCTTACCACACTCAATAGAAACAAACCCTGAGCACAAACTGTAGAACACCTGCTGCAAAGCAGACACCAAGACAGACCCTGCAGTCAGGAGGTTAAATGATGGCAGCGAATCCTCTTGGGAAACCCAGGCCAGGATCCATTCAGCACCATGGAAATTCACACACAAAGATCCCCCTGCTTTCCAAAGAGTAAATATTTTGTGTGTATGTATGCCAGGGAGCTTCATAAAAAGGGTATCTAATTAATTCAGAATAAAATCAAACAAATTCCTGTGGTCCTGGCAGTGTTACGGGAGTACCAGCTGTTGCCATCCACATTCTATTCATTAATTCAAGCACGGAACATTCAGAGGATGACAACTGGAGGGAGATGGCAAGAATGCAGGCTAGAAGGAGACTCATAGGATGAACTGAGCTCCAGAGGCAAGCAGGAGGCGCATCACGCAGGGTTTCACACATCCTTGGAGCTTATCCCACGGGTGATGTGGAGTCACTGAAGACATGCACGCAAGAGAGTGATGCGCCAGGTCTACCACTGGAAAAATCATTCTAGTACCAACTGGATGGTCAGTAAAGTTCATGTTAAAAATTTATGATAGTTGTAAAAGTAAGACTTTCAAAATTCTAAGAAATTTCTAAGAAAATCTAAGAGGTTATATAAATGGTCTAAGCTAAGGAGTCAAGAAAATCTTTGTACCCTTAGAGGCTACGTGTACAAAGCCTCTTTTTCCTTTCCTTTGAAAGGAAAACATAAACTACTTATTACTTAGGAACTGAGCACTTTTATGTGGCAAACATACCAGAAAGAAAGTTAATAAATGATAGATTCAGAGAGGCATTCTTCCAGTTTAGAAGACAGAAGGTATCTATCACATACAAAGGTCTCTGATAAATTGACAATGAGGTGGATAAAAAACACAATAGAAAGATGGGCAAAGGACCTGGAAAAAAAAAAGCAATTCACAGGAGAACGACTCTGAATGGCTAACAAATATAATTTAAAATGTCCAAATCCTTGTTATGGAGAATGGTTTGAGCAATAAAAGAAAAAAATTCCAAATTCGTACATAGGCAGGGAAATGCAAGTTAAAGGAACAATGAGATATCACTTCCTAAGTAAGAGATTGGCAAATTTAAAAGAGTAATTATATCAGTTGCTGGCAGAAATGTGTGTATTCATCATTGCTGATAGACATGGTATGAATACAGATAGTGTTAAGAGTAATAGTATTCAAAAATTAATCTGACATCTATCAAAAAAAAGGTTGTTTTTGAGACAGAGTCTTGCTCTGTTGCCCAAGCTAGAGTGCAGTGGTGCAATCTCAGCTCACTGCAACCTATGCCTCCTGGGTTCAAGCAATCCTCCCGCCTCAGCCTCCCGAGTAGCTGGGATTACAGGCATACACCACCACGCTTGGCAAATTTTTGTATTTTTTAGTAGAGATGGGGTTTCACCATGTTAGCCAGGCTGGTCTTGAACTCCAGACCTCAGGTGATTCACCCCCCTCAGCCTCCCAAACTGCTGAGATTACAGGCGTGAGCCATCGAGCCTGGCAAAATTTAAAATGTATATGCAGTTTGAATTGTAAGTCGTAGAATTAAAAATACCCACATAAAAGAAGAAATGAAAGTGTTTTTTGAAGGATTGTGTACAGGGTGAAAAAATCTGGAAATAAATTGAGAGTTCATCAATAACAGAAAGTTTAGTAAATTATAATACATATAAATACAGATTTAAATACATATAACTGAGAGGCCCATTTGGTGTATTAGTTAAGAGCATGGACTCAGACACTGAACTGGACTCAAATCCTGGCTCTACCACCTCTTCCCAGCTGTGTCGTCTTGGGAAAATTACTCTCTCTGAATTTGTTTTCTCATCTGTAAAATGCCTCAAATAATTGTTATAAGAGTAATTGAGGGCCAGATGCAGTGGCTCACGCCTGTAATCCCAACACTTTGGGAGGCCGAGGTGGGCGGATCACCTGAGGTCAGGAGTTTGAGACCAACCTAGCCAACATGGTGAAACCCCATCTCTACTAAAAAAATAGAAAAATTAGCCAAGTGTGGTGGTGCATGCCTGTAATCCCAGCTACTCAGGAGGCTGAGGCAGGAGGATCTCTTCAACCCAGGAGGCAGAGGTTGCAGTGAGCTGAGATCACGCCACTGCACTCCAGCCTGAGCAACAAGAGTGAGACTCTGTAAGCATTCGGTTGACATGAGCCGTCACATGCACCCATGGTTTTAGAGCAATGATCAGAGGTCTCCCATATGCAAATGTGCCTCGGGTTCCCCTGCTGCATTCTATTTTTCAGTGGCACTTGTCATCATCTCAATTATCAGTATGCTTACAATTTACATGTATGTATGTATTGCTGGGAGGCTATTCTCCATGAATCTCTGGTGTTTCTGCACAATTTGCAAGCAGAGACTCTAGCTGCCTTTGCTGGGAATTACCTTTACAAACGTATAGTGAACAGCCTCAGAAGACAGGTTCCCCCTTCAGGGAAGAAGACAGTTTGGCTTAATGTGCAGAATAATAAAGAAAATATCTCCCTCCAGGAGCAAAGACCAGGCAGGCTTAGTGCTCATTATTAAAGAGTCGCGTTCCCTAAGTTAAGGGCTCCTTTCACACAATGCAAACCAACTGCATGGCAGGTGTCATCTGGCCATGTCTATCACCTTCTGGGAACCAGGGGAATGGCACACATGCTTTGACTACTGCTATTACTGTGAGTAATAAATCATCCTTTGTCTCTGACCCAGGAGTCTCCTGTTTTCTGCTAGTATCCATGAAATGGTAACAAACTAGCTTATTAGCTTGTAAGTAGCTTTAATCTCAGCCCCTTCACAGTTCTTGACATGTTTAGGTACATATGTCATTGTCTAGGATTATGTGAACATGGAGAAAACATGAAAGAAGGAATACTAGGCAAATGAATTTGGGGTATGGGGAGGTAAGATTGGGAGGATCAGAAGAAGGAAAGGAGATGAGAAAACCAAGCAAAAAAAAAATTTTTTTTAATTCAAAATCTCAATCCAAACAAAGATAGTCATGATTGTGATATTGGTAATGACAAGAAATCTGAATCCACTCAAACACCAGCCAGGTGCAGGGAGGGCTAGGATAAATGCCTCACCAGAGTCTAAAGGCATGTCTCTACATTTTGATATTTCACTCCATGCACAGTGGTAAGGAAGAACTGAGGTAGTTTCAAATAAGCTCTTAGAGCTTCTGAACATTTGCCCCGGTCCCAATCTCTTAGCCTCCAGCAGCATTGAGAGCCTATCCAACTTTCATCACGTGATGCTTTAGTCTACAAATGTCAATTCTTTGGTTGCTTTAGTTGTTTACTTCACAACAAAGCTCTCATTTCCTGAGTAAGGATGTCATAAAAATAAATAAAAGTTATATTTAGGCTTTAAAAAAAATAAACCTGCAAAGACCTTTGTGTTTTTAGTTCTACTGAAATAATCAGGTCTCCTTCCAGAAAAAAGAAAAAAAAAATCCACTTAAAGAAAGCCTTATAAAAGACTCAACTATGCTGTTTCATCTCAGAATTTTTCTACAAGCAACTTTATATGTTTTGGAGGATCTGCAAGCAAAGTGGATACCTGGTTCAAAATAAATAGAAGAATGAGGGAATGGACTTTCAAGATGCACCATGAATATACCTACCAGCCTCTGCAACAGTCTGACTTGCCTCGGGACCCTGAGTCCATCCTAGAAAAGAGAAGAGACTGTTAAAAAGGTGATTTTTAAAAGAGAAGAGACATGAAATATGATTGTGAGGTCATTCTCACATGAGTTATACAAGGGGGTTAAAATCTATTCAGATTCACCAAAAGCTGTATCTATCCTGAAAAGCAGTTTTGACTTTTTATCAGGGAGTTTGTTTCGAGGCCAGAATTAGAATTCATCCCTGTCAGATCTGGTTGACTCTTAACCCATAATGTCACACTATCTCATCGCCTGAGCATTCTTCTATCTGTAAGAGGAGATGGATGAAATGACAAGAACAAAAAGATAGAGTATTTGTATTCTGTTTCATTTTATTTGGGGCCTCAAGTTAAACTCTTTGCTACTGTGTCTATTACAGTAAGTAAAGGTATTCAGTCTTAATTCCAGTGGGCTCACTATTCAACTTAAAACTCCAGGAAACTCTGGAAGCAAAACTGAACTTATCTTGAATTTTCTTCATGGTGTCTTTTCTGGATGATTTCTTATATGCTTCCACATGCCGGGGAGGGATGCGGGAAAGTGATGAAATCGTCTTTTTTTAGACATGGCCTCGCTGTGTTGCTCAGGTTGGAGGGCAGTGGTGCGATCACAGCTCACTGCAGCCTCAAACTCCCTGGCTCAAGCCATCCCCCGACTTCAACCTCCCAAGCAGCTGGGACTACAGGCATGAGCCGCCAGATCGGGGTCATTTTTGTATTTTTTGTAGAGACAGGGTCTCGCTATGTTGTCCAGGTTGATCTCATACTCCTGGGTTCAAGCGAACTTCTCACCTCAGCCTCTCAAAGTGCTGAGATTTATAGGCGTGAGCCACTGTGCCCAGCCAAAAGATTTTTTTTAAAAAAAACTCATTAATAATTAATTAACTAGACACTCTGGACTAATTTAAAGGTCTTAGCTGATTATATGGATGTTACTCATGGCAAATCTCATTAACTAATAGAAGTGTAAACTATTGTTGCTGGGAGTAATAAGTTTTCCTTCCTTTCTGGAAGGCAGTTTTACAATGTAGATCAAAAACATAAGAAATATGCCTAGACTTCATGTCTATTTTTCTTTTTTTTTTTTTTTTTGAGACGGTCTCGCTCTGTTGCCCAGGCTGGAGTGCTGTGGCATGGTCTTGGCTCACTGCAACCTCCGCCTCCCAGGTTCAAGCGATTCTCCTGCCTCAGCCTCTGGAGTAGCTGGGATTACAGGTGCCTGCCACTACGCCCCGCTAATTTTTGTATTTTTAGTAGAGATGGAGTTTCACCATGTTGGCCAGGCTGGTCTCGAACTCCTGACCTCGTGATTCACCTGCCTTGGCCTCCCAAAGTGCTGGGATTACAGGCGTGAGCCACCGCGTTCGGCCTTTTTTTTTTTTTTTTTTTTTTAGACGGAGTCTTGTTCTGTTGCCCAGGCTGGAGTGCAGTGACGCCACCTTGGCTCACTGCAATCTCCAACTCCCGGGTTCAAGCGATTCCCCTGCCTTAGCCTCCTGAGTAGCTGGGACTACAGGCATGCACCACCACGCCCGGCTAATTTTACTTTTGTATTTTAATAGAGACGGAGTTTCACCATGTTGGCCAGCATGGTCTGGATCTCCTGACCTCGTGATCCGCCCGCCTCTGCCTCCCAAAGTTCTGGAATTACAGGCATGAGCCACCGTGCCTGGCCAAGTTTAACTTTTTACGATACTGCCAAACTGTTTTCCAAAGTGGCTGTAACATTCTGCATTCCCACCAGTATGCAATCTTTTAATTTATAAATTCTACTTACAGAAAAGGGAAGAAAATACTGATAGAAAAAAAAAATGAACACAAAAGAAAATTCTTGGAAACTTTTAAAACAATTGCTCATAATTAGAAAAAGCCTAAAATGCCCTGAAAATGTGGTTCGGTTAAGTAGACTATGATACATTGATTAATTACCACACAGCTACTGAAAATAAGGACCTGCACCTACATTTACTAACATGAATCAACATTCATTTTACTGGACTTCGAGGTTGTTCTCCAAATATATTCCTAGCTCTCTGCCAGAGGGATTAGTCCTTGTGAGTAGACAGGGTCATGTGACTAGTTCTGGCCAATAAGTTATGAATGTAAGTAACATTAGTCCCTTCTGAGCCAAGCATTAAGTTAATGTTCAGTGTCCCAGAACTGCCTTTTCTTCAGCACAGTAATTAGTAATGTTTGGGGTAATGACTGCTCCATGAAGCCCAAGTTCACAGTGACCAACAGGTGCAGAGCTGCCCCACTGCTGACCCAAGATGGACAAGGTGTATAAGCAAGACATAAGAGTTTGTTGTTTAAGACATTGAGAATTGGGGATTGCCGGATACCACAGCGTAACCTAGTCTATCCTGAGAGATATGTTCATGACACAATTTTAAGTGATGAAATCAGGTAACAAAACACTATATGTAACATGATCCCATTTTTGTAAGTGTAAGTGTTTTTATGTATAGAATGTGCATCAAAGTGCTAATCAATGGCTGTTACCTTTGATTGACATCTTGTTCTTTAAACTTTTCTGTATGACCTCAAGTCTTAACAAAATGCAGATATTTCCATTTTGAAGACTAAAAGTATAAGAGAAACTCTTTTAACCCCATTCCCTGCTTTATCTCCCCACCCAAAATATATATATACATTGTAAGTTGCCATTCTAAGCCATTATAGAGTCTACTATTCAATAGAACATGGGATGGAGAAAAATAGTACAGGATTTAGGCTGACATCCACCCTGACTCCAAGTAAGAACCTATTGATGAAAGAGTCAAACTCTGTAAAATATTTGAAGAGATTTATTCTGATCCAAATATCAGTGACCATGGCCCATGACACAGCCCTCAGAAGATCCAGAGAATACGTGCCCAGGGTGTCGGGGCACAGCTGCTTGGTTTTATACATTTTAGGGAGACATGAGATGTCAATCAAATACATGTAAGACATACATTGGTTCAGTCCAGAAAGGCAGGACATCTCGAAGGTGGTGGGGGCTTCCAGGTTATACGTAGATGTAAAAGTTTTCTGATTGGCAACTGGTTGAAAGAGTTATTATCAATAGAAAGAAATCTCTGGGTTATAATAAGAGGTTGTGGAGACCAAAATTTTATCATGCAGATGAAGCCCCCAGGTAGCAGGCTTTAGAGGGCATCGACTGTAAATGTTTCCTATCAGACTTAAGATCTGTGTTGATGTTCATGCTGGAGGGGTACAAGGAGGCATGTCAAACCCCCACTTCCCAGACCCCCACTTCCCGTGACGGTCTGAACCAGTCTTTCAGGTTAAACTTAGAGGGCCCTGGACTAGAGGAGGAAGTCCATTCAGTTGGTTGGCGGGCCTTCAAATTTTATTCTTGGTTTACAAACCAAACACTTCCTAGGAGTATATCGGTTTTGGAATTCTAAAATGAGGTGAGGCTGGGCACGGTGGCTCATGCCTGTAATCCCAGCACTCCGGGAGGCTGTGGTGAGTGGATCACCTGAGGTCAAGAGTTCGAAACCAACCTGGCCAACATGGTGAAACCTCATCTCTGTTTTAAAAAGACAAAAATTAGCTGGGCGTCGTGGCACACACCTATATTCCCAGCTACTTGGGAGGCTGAGGCAGGAGAATCTCTTGAACCCGGGAGGTGGAGGTTGCAGTGGGCCGAGATCATGCCACTATACTCCAGCCTGGGCAACAATGTGAGAGTCCATTTCAAAAAAAAATAAAAATTAAAAGTAAATTAATTAATTAAATAAAATAAAATGAGGTGAGATGCACAAGAGACTGTGAAAGGAAGGCCATCATAGGGACCCTGGGCAAGTTCTTTATCAGTCTTGCATGATCATCTCTTGCCCTTCCCTCCCTAAATTGTGGAGCAGCCTGGGGACCACTTAAAATAACTATGGTCAGAAGGAAAGCCCAGCCCCTCTCAGGTATTAAGTTCCCTGATTGATCTAAAGTATTTTCTTTGAAGTTTTCTCTTTTGTAAAATAGGTTTTCTGAGAAAATAAGCATGCTTCAAGGAGAACAAGAGAAGCTGGTTTTTCATTTTTGAGATGCCTATCTGATGTCTCAGGGGATCACTATGGCCACACTTCAGTCCAAGTTTCAACTCAGCTTGACCCAGAATCAAAACTTCCCAGTACACGTACATTGCTGGTGCCAGCTAGGATTGGAAGTGCAAATGACATTAATACCATCATCGTTTTTAGTTAAGAATTCCTGATCCTTTTTATTGTTTGAGTGTTTTCCCGGTGCCTTTTAAGAAACGAGGGGTGGAGTCTGGCTACAGAAAAGTAACTGACTCCCAGCTTCAGGCAAAACTACCATAAATAGCCATCTTAGAGCTTCCACTGACTTCCTTGAGGCCCCAAATCATGGACTTAAGAGATGGTGCTACCCAGCTGAGGTTATTTCTCCAGCATCAGAACAGAAGATATCCAGACCACAACATTTATTGAGAAAAACGTAAGCCACCATCTCTGCCACCAAGGACCATACTCTCTAATTTTCAAAAATATATATGCTCACGAAAGCACAATAGACAAAGTGAGTTTTATAAGTTACAAAAGAAATAGATGAAAGAAGAGATCACTATGCTCTTGAGTGACCGTGAAAGGCTTTATGAAGAAGACAGGGCTGCAGCTTAGCTGTGGAGATGTGTCTTGGAGTGGGATGAAAGGGAAGAAGAAAGTGAAAGAGAATCAGGTTCAACACAGGAACAATCCTCAGAAAATCAACTTCATAGACCTGCACCTGCCTCTAACACAAATGGACCCAGCAACATCACCACCAGGAAACAGAAGGTGAGGTAAAGGCTTCCTTAGGACGAGCATGTGTCAGTAACATCATCAGAGCTGTGGAGTGTGGAATCTCCAAACCTACCCCGTTATCAATTAGTGCAACTATAGGTGGGAAAAAAAACCTGCCAGTGCCGCTTAAATGTTTATAATTTGACTGATAGGGGTTGTGTTTTTCTTCCCAGGATCCACCGGAGCATCAGATCATGACTGAGGGAGGAAGAGAGATAGGTACTTGAGTCATCTCGAGAGTCCATCCATGGGAAAGAATGGGAGGCAGGAGGAGAGAAACAAAGCCTAATTCTTGAGCACAGACACTCCACCTTTGGTATGGATGCTGTAATGACCCGGTTGACTTAAAGACAGATGTAAAGGCGAGGTTTGCATCCTCCATTCTTCTTTTGAGCTATAACATTGTATCCGTGACTCTAGGTCCCATAACACAGGTGTCTCCATCGCCGGGGCGTGGACAGGTACAGGTTGGTGGCCCATTAGGAATCGGGCCACACAGCAGGTGAGCAGTGGGCGAGCCCGCATTACCGGCTGAGCTCTGCCTCCTAATGCTCCAGGCACTAGATTCTCATAGGAGGCAAACCCTATTGTGAACTGTGCATGCAAGGGATCTAGGTTGTGTTCTCCTTACGAGATTCTTACTAATGCCTGGTGATTTTAGGTGGAACAATTTCATCCTAAAACCATCCCTCCCACCCCCATTCCGTGGAAAACTTGTCTTCCACAAAACCAGTCCCTGGTGCTAGAAAGGTTGGGGACTGCTGCCATAACAGATCCAAGAGCCATTACACCAAGGCCAGCTTCAGCCAAACACCTTCAACTGACTGAAGTCATGCGTTCCTAGAGGGATCTGTACAAGGAATTTATCTACCACCTGGCCCCATTCTTCTAAGGGCATTCTGAAATGCTGAAACCCAAACCGAGAAACTTAAGGGCCAATTACCTTAGAGATCTGCTATAGGACCTGGAACAGAACAAAGGGCTAGATGTTGGAAAGTCACATGAGATGCCATTTATCATGTGGGCTGAGAACGGTTAGTCTGAGAATATTCCCATTTGGGTAATTCTATATCACTCACCCCAAATTTTTCTTCCTTGAAAGTAATGTTGCTGCAAGTTTGTTTAGCTATTAATCATTTGCAATTTGGGATGCCTATCACCTTGGTAATGGAAGAAGAAACCTGATATTACAGCTAAAATTCCAAACAATTTCCAGAAAGATTGTTTTTTAAGTTTTTTTGAGGCAGAGTCTCAACTCATACCACCCAGGCTGGAGTGCAGTGGCATGATTACAGCTCACTGCAGCCTTGACTACCTGGGCTCAGGTGATCCTCCCACCTCAGCCTCCCAAGTACCTGGGACTACAGGTGCATGCCACCATGCCCAGCTAATTTTTGTACTTTTAGTAGACATGGGGTTTCAACCATGTTGTCCAGGCTGGTCTTGAACTCCTGGGCTCAAGCTATCTGCCCACCTCAGCCTCCCAAACTGCTGGGATTACAGGTGTGAACCACTGTGCCTGGCCGATTAAAATTTTTTAAAAGCAACTGCCATTAGGCAAGTCACCCTGTTTATTTTATTTACCTATAAAATATCAGGGGTGGGGTGCGGTGGCTCAAGCCTGTAATCTCAGCACTTTGGGAGGTCAAGGCAGGCCGATCATCTGAGATCAGGAGTTCGAGACCAGCCTGGCCAACACGGTAAAGCCCCGTCTCTACAAAAATACAAAAATTATCCAAGTGTGGTGGTGTGTGCCTGTAGTCCCAGCTACTTGGGAGGCTGAGGCAGGAGAATTGCTTGAATCCGGGAGGCGGAGGTTGCAGTGAGCCAAGATCATGCCACTGCGCTCCAGCCTGGGCAACAGAGTGAGACTGTCTCAAAAAAAAAAAGAGAGAGAGACAGACAGAGAAAAGAAAAGAAAAATCAGGGAACTGGATGTTTCTTGTGGGAAAATAATGAGTGGTTCAGAACCCTCCTCCTAAAAAAAGCTCAGGTCTTCATCCTCTGTCCCCCATCTTCCTAAATCGACCTACTCCACTGCTCCTCAGATCCAGAAACACCCGGCTGGCATTCCCAGCAGCTACGCTGATGACATGATAAGCAAGATCGCCTTATATGTGAGCATCCAAGGACTTGGGGAAAGTGCTAGTTAGGAACACCAAGTCACACACAGCTCATCACCCAGTTCTCAGGACTTCCCCACCCTTCCTTTCCACCCTCAAGAAATGGCATATGGCTGCTTTGGGAGTGACCAAATCCCTGGAATTTCTCCCACAGCATACTCCTTCCGCACTCTGCCCTACAAACTCATTTCAACAATCCAGCCCTGCACATAAGGGAGACGTTATTGAATGGCCAGAAGCTTACAAAATCTTTCACTGGCTTTGTTTTTTAAAGAGTTGAAAAAAAATAGCTATCTTGATTTTTGTTGTTTTTTTCCCCCCCAAATGCAAAAATTTGCTTCTCAGTGAGAATTTGTAAGAAATTAAAAATCTGGAAATGTCCAATTCAGGGAATTAGAAATGTATCACCACAATAGATGTTTGAATTATGACTAGCATATATTGCACATCACCTATGTGCCATGAGCTACAAATACAAATCACATTTAAATAAATTCAACTAAATTATAAAAGTGAACATGGCTTGCTGTTTGAAGGATTTGCTGAGAGCCCCAGCTTTGGTGTTCGGCACACCTACACTCCAATCCAGGCTTTGCACATAGTAGGTTGTTGCAGCTGTCACTTCTCAGAAAGGACTTCCTGGTTGTCCTTTGTCAAATAAGTACATTGAGACATTACAGCGGTAGTCAGAGACTTAACTAGGCTGTGCATAAATAGTAAAAGCAGCTAATATTACCTAAGTGTTTACTATATGCAAATGCTTTGCCTGAATTAACTCATTTAATCCTCGAACAACCATAAAAGCAGAACTGTTATTTTTATAAAAATTAAATTATTATTTACATGCTAATAAAACATAAGCTCCAGGACACCTCACTTGTGCAAGCCCCTAAAAATGCGTGATGTTTGTGGTGCCTGTCAGATTGTCAAAATGTGTAATTTGTTGTGCTTTCTTTATCTTTCTAAATAAATAGTCATTTTAGCACCTAATTTTGTAGTTATAATTTGATACTTTTTTCCTTCAAGAGGGTCCTGCAAATTGTATAAACTTTACTCTCCTCCCAAAGCCTAGATCCACCCCTGCCTATGTAGTAGGAATTATTAACAACTCTATATTGCAGATGATGAAACTGAGACCCAGAGAGGTTAAGTGACTTGCCCAGGTACACACAGGCAGTAAGTGATGGGGTCCAGATATGAGCCCAGGCAGTCCGGCACCACATGGAGTACTCAACCAGAATACATTATTGCCTCTTATTATTTTCACATAAAGCTCCTAGCAAACTCCCTGAGACATTGGGACATTACAGATACTCAATAACTGGTGGCTTTTACTATTTTGTCAATCTAAAACTGCTTTGATAATAATGGGAATATAACTCTATCTTTAAAGACACCATATAAATTTAAGCTAACAAAACAGATAAGTCTGTAGCAGACAGTTTTTATACAAGGGATTTTCTTTTAAATACTAATTTCCCAAAATATCCTTTAAAAATACTACTATTCAAAGTGTGCGGCTAGGCACAGTGGCTTATGCCTGTAATCCCAGCACTTTGGGAGGCCAGGGCAGGTGGATCACTTGAGCTCAGGAGTTTGAGACCAGCCTGGCCAACGTGATGTATTTTTGTCTCTATTAAAAATACAAAAATTAGCCAGGCATGGTGGAGTGCACCTGTAATCCCATCTGCTTGGGAGGCTGAGGCATGAGAATCACTTGAACCCAGGAGCCAGAGGTTGCAGAGAGCAGAGAGCCTGCCACTGCACTCCAGCCTGGGCGACACAGCGAGATTCCGTCTCAAAAAAAAAAAAAAAACTAAAATGTGTTCCATGGACCACCTGCATCAGAATCATCTGCGCCCCATCCCAAACCCAATGGATCTAAACCAATGGAAGTGGAACTCAGGAAGCTGAATGTTTAATGAACACCCCAAGTGACTTTTTCCACCCCAAGGGTGAAAACCACTGCTTTTAGGAGTCATTCCACTATGGGTTACTGAGTACCCACTGTCTACAGATGGGGTGAAGGGTGAGAGGTGAAGGAACTTGAATCTAAGGTGTTACTGGTATATTTCCAATTACAGGTGAATGACAAATAACTGCAATGCAAGTTAATAGTCATATTCAGCTATATTAAAATTTGCATAAGATTTGCATAGACTTACATTTTTCAAATTAAGTTTACATACAATTTTAAAGACCATAATGATTGAGAATAGAGTGCTCATTACATTCCCAGGTTCTGTTCTAAGATTTAAGTATATTAATTGTTTCACTTTTCAAAATCCTAAGTAATTGCATCATCCCCATACAGAGATAGAGGCTCACAAACGTTAAGTAACTCCTCAGTAAGTGCAGAGCCAAGATTTGAACCCAGAATTCTGGTGCTAAAGCCTATGCTCTCAAACCCTATATCACAAAAACTAAATATAAAAAAGAACGGATTAGGGATAAAAGGTAAAATTGCAAGTTCATAGAACTTTATACCTTGGATTTTTTTTCCTGATTTAGTCATTTTCAAGATAAATAAATATTGTGCTGGGTTGAAGACAGCATGAAATCACTAAAAGAGGTCAAGCCATGTTTTTTTATGACAGCAAGTCCATAGACTGTGAAGCCTACTTGAACTTGGTATATGCTAGAGTTTAAACAGCCTTCCTAGTTCAGACACAGAATCTTTGTTTCAGTCCATCCCACACTGTCCTGTCTCCACACCCCCAAAAAAGTTTCAAGATCTTTACCCTAAATTCCTTCACTCAGCATGTCAGCAGCATGAGTCTAAGACCATGGCCAGCATTAAGTGCTGACAGTGTTTTAAGCACTTGGGTGTCATAATGCATTCAGTCCTCACAACCCTATCATTTCTCCACATTTCACAGAAGAGGAATATAAGGCCGAAAGGCACTTGATCAGGGTCCCAGAGCTGATAAGTGACAGAATCAAGAATCAAGTGGTCCCAGACATCCTGGTACCAAGCCCATGCCTTCAGCCATCTACTAAAACATCTCCCAGTTATTGAGCGTCCACTGTATACCAGGTGCTTAACACAAATTAGCTGAGTCCTTGCAAGTTTGCTCAAAAAGAGCCGCATTCCCTGCCCTGACCAACGAGGACATGAAGGCTCTGAGAGATTAAAGGGCTTGCCCGGAACACACAACTAAAGCCCAGCCTGTCTCTGCATCCAAAGCCTGCACTTTTCCAACATCACTACGATGCCTCCTGGGATTTTATTAGCTACTCCCCCCCTAGAAGGAAGTATCATTACTACCACTTTACTGTTAAGCACATTCACAGGACAGAGAACATGAAGATAACTGTCTTCATATTTAGGCAGTTGGGCTTCAAAACTGCTCTTCAAAACAGGGGCTGGAAAAGGGAGAAAAGGTCCGCCTACTTGTATCTTCCTCCCACCGTGCACAAACACGCTGGAAGCTAAACGGCTTAAATATTTAAATGGCATGTGTGTGAAAGCACTTCTACTTTGTGACAGGGCCATGTTGCACATTAGCTCTCAATGCTATTTGTGTGAACCCGCTTCATACTTTTTAAAGACAAAAATGCTCTATTCATCATTTTATTGACATTTCATATTTGCAGGTTTTATTCGCCTGCGAGGTTAAGACATTTGAAACACAAATCCTGACAAACGCACAGACCAGCAACTCGAGGAACTCAGACGCTTTGGCTCTCGGTGCCACCTTTAAATGCTAAACCACCGGTAGGTAGTCGCTAAATGGGAAAGTCGTGTTCTCCCGGTTTTCAGGTGGGAAAAGCTGAGGCTCCCAGGAGTCTAGAACTCCTCTCATATTGCCTTTCTCCCTGGATCAACTGGGAATGATGATAACAGCAGACTGCCCCCCACGCGTGATAAGGAAAAAACCTTGTAATTATAATAACTTTTGGAGCTACCTCAGAAATTAACAACGACGAACAGAAATCTGCGCAATCAACAGGAGCCAAGAAGAAAAACTCGGCTCCGCAGGACAAGTCCCGGGCACAGTTCTGCAGGAAGCCTCAGGCCAGATCAGGCACCGCGGCTCACACAGAGGTGACGCACGAGTGACCCACAGAGAGGGACCCCTGGGCCTCTGGTGGGGGCCTGGGAGACGGTCGAAGGGGGCCCGGGCAGAAGCTCCGCGGCCGGGCCGGCGGAGGGAAGGGGGCGGCCGCGCCCGGGACCCGGCTCCCCTCGGCTCCACTTACCTGCTCCGAAGAGTGGCCCCAGCTCTGCGCCTCTTCCTGCGACCCCACACACAGGGACAGCCCCAGGCACAGCCCCAGCAGCAGGAGCATGGCGGGGCGAGGGCGCGGGACGCTCGGGGACCCGGCGGGACACGCTTTGCAGCGCCCAGGGCTCCAGCCACTGCGGGACGCTCTCGGGGCCGCCCACCCCGCGGTCCCAGCCCGGACCCCGCCCACCCCACGGACCCAGCCCGGACCCCGCCCACCCCGCGGTCCCAGCCCGGACCCCGCCCACCCCACGGACCCAGCCCGGACCCCGCCCACCCCACGGACCCAGCCCGGACCCCGCCCACCCTGCGGTCCCCTCCTGGACTCCGCCCACCCCACGGACCCAGCCCGGACCCCGCCCACCCCACGGACCCAGCCCGGACCCCGCCCACCCCGCGTCCCAGCCCGGACCCCGCCCACCCCACGGACCCAGCCCGGACCCCGCCCACCCTGCGTCCCCTCCTGGACTCCGCCTACCCCGGTCCCAGCCCGGACCCCTTCCACCCCGCGGTCCCCTTCTGGACTCCAACTCTCCCACCCCAGCCCAGACCCCACTTCCCCGCCCCAGACCTTCCCACACCCTGCCTCCCTGGACACCCCCCAAGCCCGGCCTCGCCTCCCTGTCCCCAGTCAGGACCCAGCTTCCCCAGGTCCCCAACCCCAAGCTCCGTTTCTCCACGCCCCCATTTCCCCCCACCTCCCCAGTCCCGGCCCCACCTCTCCTGTCCCTGTCCCCACCGAGGCCAACTTCCCAGACCCCACCTACAGCCACCCCCTTAAACCCGGCCCGCCTCCCTGTGGCCCCCACACCAGCCCCGCCTCCTCCCCAGTCCCCACCCCGCCCGGCGCCGCTTCCCGGCCTCAGTCCCACCAGAGCCGCGCCTCCAGCCCCCAGTGCTGGGCTAGCTCTGTTCGGGGAGAAGGCATTCCAAGCCTGCCTCGCCGCGCACAGCAGGGGCCACCTGTGTTGGCCCCACGGACCCCTCCCACACCCTCCCATCCTGCGGCTGTGACACTTAACCAAGGACCAGTCTCCTCTGTAGAGCCTCCTACTCCGTTTCTTGCCAACACCCACTGCCTCCCGGGCCCTACCCCACGCGCCCCCGCAACTCTTTCTTCCTCTCCCTCAAGGTGCAATATGCTTCTTTGCGGACTTGCTTAATTTCTGTCGCCAGAGGACGCGAGAAGGCCAGCCTGGTCCTCAGCACACAGCCCACCCCGCACCTGCCAGCCTGAAGCCGGCAGATCGTCCCCTCTGCATTGGCCAGGGACGCTTAATAGGCAGGACAAAGGATACTACCTGCAGTCTAGCGCAGGAGGGACTAGCAAGGCTGCCAGCCTTTATGTTCTAAGGAAACAGAGGAGACGAGGGAAGTATCTTGGTAGCGTGTAGTATTTCTGAGTTTCTGGTTATTAATCATGTAAGTGAGTGCCAGTATGTATCTTAGTTACAAACTATTGGTGATACTTCCATCCTGCCATTGGAAGAATTCTTACCCACCAGCCGTCCACACCTGGCCTTCTACAGGCTGAGTGCGTCTTTTTTATCTGGTGATACACATTGCAGTTGGGGCTACTTGTTTATTTCATGTTGCAAAGGATGTTTTTTATGTCTCTGTGATAATTTCATCTAAATAGGTGAGGTGAGTGACAGACCCTTTAAGGACCAAGAACAGGGAAGGGGCTAACTTCGGACCATGGAATAGAGAATACTATTCCATGCAGGTTACTATGGGGCCATTAAATAATCGTGCGACGTCTCCAGAAACATGGAGAATGTTGACAGTGTAATCTAAAGAGAAAATCACATCACCAAATCGTATCAACAGTATGATTGCAATTAGGTAGAAATACATATGGAGGGACATAACTAGAAAAAAAAAACATGAAAAATAAAAGCAGTGGGTAGGTTAGTTTGTGGTGAGATCCTCGAAAATATCTATTCTTGTTGAAATGCTCTTTGTTTAATGAATTAGGAGAGGTTAAAAACAAACACCTTGCTACTGTGAAATAAATGAAAGGAAAATTATTGTCATCAGCAGTTAATCCTTTAATAGCCTAACCACTAGTCAGCATGCAACCAATAAGAAACAACTGTAGCCGGTTATTTTTCCCTCCAGAGGAAAGTAACTATTTGTGAACCAGAAGTTGAATTGGACAAAGCCAGTTTATTTGCAATAGGGAACCATACAGCGGCCATTATTTCAACCCATGATTGCAACAGAACAGAGACTCCATCGTCTTTCCTTCCCTGCCATCCCTAACTTGAAATGCTGAAAGGGCCCATATTAAACTATTTTTGCCTTTATATCTGATCTCTTTTTTTTTCCCAAATTCATACTAACTGGGTTTTACAGCAGTCTAATGTTAAGAAAAGTGAGTTTTATTTTCATCTGGGAGGACCCTCTGATTCTACCCTAGACTGTGGTTCTAATGTGTTGTTTGTTTAATATAAAGCCAGTTTCTCCAACTGGATCTGTTCTTTGAGGACAAGCCTCTCCCCCAACTTCTAGAACTGTGCTAAATATATTGTTAGCACTTAAGGACCTTTTGATGAATGAGATTAGTAGATGGGAGGAATGAGTGTGGATGGTAGAGCCAGGCTGTGCCAGGGAGGTGGGGCTGGGCTATAGTGCAAACTTGACCGCTACCTAGCTGTATGACTTGACAGAGTTTCTGAACTTCCTATTATTTTCAAGCTGTAATAGTTCAGTATTCTATGTGACACCTGTGTATCTCTATGATGATCTTTAAAATCTAGGTAGGTGTGATAAAAATAAGACCTAGTGAAAGTTTTCCAAGACTGTCAACAAGCAAAGACAGTGATTTATATCAGCCTTATAAATAAGGGCCAAGGTGTCCCCACATACATTTGTCCTTTGATTCCATGTTTCTCATTTTACCTCCAGGAGGAGCTGAATTTCCAGTTACTGAACACATAAAATCTCAAAGCTAGAAAAGACCCTGCACGATGTCTAGCTCAATTCATTCACCAGGACCATGTGCCACGAGTGACAAATCACAGGGAAGGCCCCCGGGGTTCACGGACAGGATCTAGAGGCAGAGCTCAGCGACAAGGGACTCAGAGTCCAAGAATGAACAGGAGCTGTTTCTCCTGGGCCAGAGATGCTGCTCTGTCCACGCCACTTCTAGGAAATCATTCCCTCAAGTAACTGAATGATGGGCCAAAGTATTCCAGAATTGTCGAATCACACTTGTGAGAGTTATCCCTTTATCCTGGTCTCCTACTGGAGACTACCAATAGATGGGCCCAAAATCATGGTCAAAACAACCATGACTTAACGAGATTAACGAGTTGAAAGCAGGCTGCCTGTTTGTTTTCTTTTAAACCTCTCCCTTGATTTTACATCCTGACACCCCATAGCTCCTAAATCTAGCTATGGTTAGAGTTAAGCCACCACCCAGTTCTTTGGTCTCCACCTCCTCTCCCTCTCTCATCCTCCCTTCTGAGCCTCTGTAAGGCCATTGTTCTATTTGGGACAGCTCTTTCTCCCCATCCTTGGTCTACTCCTTTTTTATCTACTTATATGGCCTTGTGTGTTTCTCTTGGCCCCCTGACAACTGTGTAGAATCGCTACAGGTTTTTACAACCTTGGCTTTTTTTTTTTCTTGATTAGAGGGGACTACTAGGGAGGAAATGGGTTCCTTTTGACTTTGACTTGATGATTTCTCGGGAGCCCAGTTATAGCGTGTCAGGAGTCTAGTTATACCTACTTTTCATCTGCTTCACCAAACACTGAGTTTTGTCCACAGAGATTTGTGAAGGAAGAAATAGGGAATGCAGTTTTCTAATATATGATTGGTGATTGCTGAACTCAACTGTTCACAAAGTGTAACACTTACCATATTTTAATTATTGGCTTGCAGATTTGAGACCTAAATTAGACTCTGATTTCTTCATGGTCAAGGATTCTATCATTCTTGTTTTGACATCCTCAGGCTCTGACACATGGCCTGGAATAGAGTAGACGTGCTGTATGCTTGATGAATGAATGAAAAAATGTATATCTGCCATTATGTTACCCTGTGCTAGTTGTGTGTAATATGACAAGTTTTAGACAGACTCCGTGACCTTGAAGAAGTTACCATTTAGATATGAAGATGGAGCTAACAAAATGGACAAAATTTGAACTCAGTAGTGATTTCCTAAGAGGAGAAGGGACAAGATTGTGATTGTATTTGTGGTCTGGAAGGCTTCATGAAGGACGTGGAAATTAATATTTGCATGAATTTGATTTTGAAAGCCAAGTGGAGAAGAGAAAACATTAAGGAGACAGAGGAAGGAGGGGGAACAAGGGTGGAAAAGGCTTTGACAGTGGGGAAAGAACAATATAAAATTCTGAGGTTCAAGTCTGGGCAGTTGCCTGTGGAATTTGGTGGGGGGGGTGGGGGTGCTGAAAACTGGGAAAGTATAACACAGTGATCCCCAAACACAAATCTGCCAACCAGTGCACATTCCTGACCCCACTTTCTCCATCTGCTTCTGAAAGGAGAAAACTGAGTCATCATGGTGTATTTCTTTTTTTTCTTTTTTCTTTTTTTTTTAACTTTGAGACAAGATCTCTGTCTCCCAGGCTGGAACGGAGTTGCGTGATCTCAGCTCCCTTCAACCTCTGCTTCACGGGGTCAAGCAATTCTCCCTCCTCAGCCTCAACCATGCCTGGCTAATTTTTGTATTTTTAGTAGAGATGGGGTTTCACCATGTTTCCCAGGCTGGTCTCAAACTCCTGAGCTCGAGTGATCTGTGTGCCTCAGCCTCCCAAAGTACTGGGATTACATGTGTGAGCCACTGTGGCCCGCCAACTTCTTACTTTAAAGAACTGTCCTTTGCTCTGCCTTAAGGCTTTTGTTACTCCTTGATCAATAATAATATTGATAACACTGCCTCACTGTGAGCCCGTGGGGTGGAGAGTGAAAAGAGTATGTCCCCAGGGGAGGTATGTATGTTGGGGAGGGGATGGTATGTATGTTGGGGAGGGGATGGTAAACCAGGATCTCAGGAAAACAGTGGAAAACCTGCTTAGGTAGTCATGGTGGCTCGTTCCTCTAATCCTAGCTATTCAGGAGGCTGAGGCAGGATGATCACTTGAGGCCAGGAGTTCAAAACCAGCCTGAGTAACATAACAAGACCCCCATCAGGAAAGAAAAAAAGGAAGGAAGGGAGGGAGGGAGGAAGGGAGGGAGGAAGAGAGGGAGGGAGGGAGGAAGGGAGGGAGGAAGAGAGGGAGGGAGGGAGGAAGGGAGGGAGAGAGGGAGGGAGGGGGAAGGAAGGGGAGAGGAAGAGAGGGATGGAAAGAGAAAGAAAGAGAGAAGGAGGGAGGGAAGAAAAGAAAAATGGAAGGAAGGGAGGGAAGGAAAGAAAGACAGAAAGAGGGAAGGAAAGCAGGAAGGAGGGAAGGAAGGGAGGGAGGGAGGGGAGGGGGGAAGGGAGGGAAAGAAAGACAGAGAAAAAGGGGGAGGAAGATAAAGAAGGAAGGAAAAGAAAGCAGGAAAGAAAGAAAAGAATAACCTTCTTGATGATACAGAAATCCTGCTCACACATCCCACAAACGTAGTAGCACATGCAACTTATAACAACGACTACTATTTCTGTTTCCCATGCTGGTTGCCACTACCAATACTATAAAGTGAGTAGTTGAACACGAGTACTTTTCCAATGACATCAGTGCTGTTGGCTCCCTACCCAGTATTCATCCAGGCTGTGACACCTGTCCAGAGTCATATATGTCAAGAGCTCTATACAATTGTGTGATATGCCTAATATGAAAAGCCAAAGGAACGCAAGCCTCTGGCAGTGATCTCATCAAATCTGCTCATGCATCTACTGTGTGATTCACCAAACCCACTTTGGAGAATTTATCATATGAACGAACCTGCTCATGTACAGAAAGGTGCAGGTACAAGATTACGCATTACAGCATGACTTTGTTTGTAATGTGCACATTGGAAACAACCCATAAGTTTATTAACAGGAGTCTGGTCAGGTACAATGTGGTACTATGAAGTCTGATTAGATACAACGTGGTACAATGAAACCTGATTAGATATAACGTGGTACTACGAAGTCTGATTAGATACGACGCGGTACAACGAAGCCTGATTAGATACAGTGCGGTACTACGAAGCCTGATTAGACACAACGCGGTACTACGAAGCCTGATTAGACACAACGCGGTACTACGAAGCCTGCTTAGACACAATGCGGTACTACGAAGCCTGATTAGATACAATGTGGTATCTATGAAGGCTGATTAGATACAATGTGGTACTATGAAGCTGTACAAAAGAATGAGGAAGGCTTCTATGTCTTGCTATAGAAAAACAGCCAGTATCATGTAATTAGGGAAGAAAGAGCAAAGTGCAGGCTGACTTTAGTGTAAGAAAGAAAGAAAATAAGAAAGCATATTTATATTTGCTTGCAAGTTTTGCCATAAAGAAATTCTAGGAAACATAAACCATGAAGAAAAGTATTTGCAGGGACGGGGTGGTAAGAGGATGGGAACACGACAGATTTGATCTCAGGAAGGGATGGGTTTTGTTTTGTTACTGTATTACATATTTACTGTATTATTTTAGTATTTGATTCTTTATTGTTGACCACAGTGAATGTACTACGTATTCAGGGTTAATAAATTAATTTAAAACTACAGCCAAAAGAAGAGGAGGAGGAGGAGGAGGAGGAGGAGGAGGAGGAGAAGAATAGCTGACCCCTCAGGTCTCTCTTATTGAAGACTTTATCTCTCCTGGGTTTGCTGGGTAGATACAAAACTCAGTGGCTCACAGTGGGAAGAAACTGCACTCCCCTCTTCTAGCTTCCCCTCCTGGGCTCATGCGCATGCACACACACACACACACACACACACACACACACACACACGCCAGCCATGCTCAACTCCTTCTGGTTTCTTCAGCACCCCCATTCCTTCTTGCCCCTTGCTTTGCATGGATTCTTCTCTTTTCTGGAATGTCTGCCTCTACCTCCCCACCCCACCCTGCAAATGTCACCTCCTCCAGGGTGTCTCGCAAATCTCATCAGGTTGATAAATGTCACTCCTGCCTCCAATAGAGCACCCAGCTCTTTGTCTATGTGTCTCTTTCTCACTAAACCAAGACCCAGTGGAGGGCTCTGTCGTTGTCTTCTGCTTTCTTCCTCTTCCTCTTCCTCTTCCTCTTCTTTTTGATGGAGTCTCGCTCTGTCTCCCAGGCTGGAGGGCAGTGGCATGATCTCAGCTCACTGCAACCTCTGCTTCCCGGGTTCAAGTGATTCTCCTGCCTCAGCCTCCTGAGTAGGTGGGACTACAGGCGCGTGCCACCACCCCCAGCTATTTTTTGCATTTTTAGTAGAGAGGGAGTTTCACTATGTTAGCCAGGATGGTCTCGATTTACTGACCTCGTGATCTGCCCACCTCAGCACCTCAGCCTCCCAAAGTGCTGGGATTACAGGCGTGAGCCACCGTGCCCGGCAATCTTCTTTTCATCTTTGTGTGCTTTGTCCACATTTAGCATGCACCTGAGCTTGGGAAATGTTTGTTGAATGAATAAAGGAAACTTGGTTAGTATGGTAGACCTAGACTTAGTTTACTTAGTACACTTTCATGTTGTCATTTCCTTTGAAATACCTGTAGCATCAGTCTGCAAAGGCATTGACTGGATGCAAGACATTAGACCAAGTGTGTACCTCGCTAAAGGGGAGTATTTTTAAAGAGCAGCAGAATATCGACTCCTCCATTGCCAAAAACATGTTGGGACACAATCATCTCTCTTTTTTATTTATTCATTTTGTGGGAATTATAATTACAAAAACTGGAAAAAAGCAACTGAATTTTACGCACTTGATGTAATACTATATTGATGCTTAATCTTTTCTTAGAGTGCTGAATTCCCACGTTCTTGAATTCTTTGTGGCAAAAGAAGCAAGTTCGAATCCATGCATTTCCCCTTCCTCATCTCTATTTCTCTATCTCAAAACCTCGCCTCTTCAAGGATCTCCCCGTTTTGAAAACTCTGCTCTCAAAAACTGGTACAACCATCCTCCAGACACACTAAAAATAATTTTCCCTTGAAAAATTTTAAGGTTCATAATATGTAGCAATACATTTATTATATTCCTGAAGTCATCAGAAGGCACAATTAGCATTAATTTTGCCTTATTTCCTAAAAGTGCATCTCCCCCCCGCCCCCCCCCCCACACACAAAGCCAACACTTGCCTTCATCTTTGCTGTTCTGAATTAATGTATAATTTAGTGCCAGGCAAACAGTTCTGAAGAAATATTTATCAGATGAGTGAAGATTTATTTCTACAGAAATACTTAAATAGTGAAAAAAAAAAAATCTTAGTCCAAACTCAAGGATCCTTTTTATTTTCTTTGGGGAAGATGCCAGAGCAACAAGTTGCATCCTAGTTTTCTAGGCTTTAACCTGGGATCACAGAAGACCAGGGATAGAACAGAGGATGTGCTAACACTATGGAATATGATGCAGCTTCAGTTCCACCTGTCTCCACATCCCATGCTAGTCCCCCACCCTCGTGCTTTTTTTTTTTTTTTTTTTTGAGACGAAGTCTCACTCTGTCACCCAGGCTGGAGTGCAGTGGCCCGATCTCGGCTCATGCAAGCTCTGCCTCTCGGGGTCACGCCATTCTCCCACCTCAGCCTCCCAAGTAGCTAGGACTACAGGTGCCCGCTACCATGCCCGGCTAATTTTTTGTATTTTTAGTAGAGATGGGGTTTCACCATGTTAGCCAGGATGGTCTCGATCTCCTGACCTTGTGATCCGCCCTCCTTGGCCTTCCAAAGTGCTGGGATTACAGGTGTGAGCCACTGTGCCGGACCCGTGCTTTCTTTTACTCTATGGCATGAAGACAGAGAAGCCAGAAAAACATAAAGCTAATCCCCAGGGTGTGTTTTCTCCCTGAAGAGTTGCCAGATGTGTTTCAGACAGATGTTGGGGAATGTCCAGAGAGTTTTCGCCAAAAGCTGCAGGCATGTCTTTGGAAGGGTTTTGGCTAACGTCAGGCAGTGCTGGTCTTGTGGTTGATGCTGAGAGATACCAAATCCTAACAATGAGGCATCATCGGGTTCTTTAGGTGGTGCCGAAGGGCAGGTTGCCCGGCTGGCGGGGAGGAAAGCTTCTTCTCGCTGCAATACATGTGGCAGGTTTGCTTCACCCAGGAACAAACATACTGAACAAAATACGTAATCCATTTTCCCCTACATGTCAGAGTTATCTCCATACTGAGTTCCCATTCCCTTGAGCAGAACAAAATTTACTCTTGCCAATGTACAATAAACCATCAATATGGGTTTTCTCAAAAATCAAAGTGTTGCTTTCTTAATCAATTCAGGGTTCCTTGCCTTCCCACCTATCCATGGAGTTGGTTCTAAGTTCCATGAAGTCATCAGGGAATAGGGTGGGGGTGAGGGAGGAGCCACTGGTCTTGCCATCACCTGTGTTATGGACTGAATGTTTGTGTCCCCCCCAAATTCCTATGTTGAAGCTCTAACCCCCACTGCAATGGTGTTAGGAGGTGACACCCTGTGGAGGTGATTAGGCTTAGATGAGGTCAGGAGGATGGAGACCTCATGATAGGATGAGCATCCTATTAAGAAGAAGAAGAGAGAACCAAAGAGCTCGTTCTCTCTCTCACTCTCTCTCCTCTCTTGTCTGCACACTTTCTCTGTCATTCTCACTCTCTCTGTCTCTGTCTCTCTTTGTTCCCTCCCCCATTCCCCCACCACTGAGAGAAGGTTGCCATCTGCCAGCCTGGAAGAGAGCCCTCACCAGGAACAAAATTAGCTGGGGCCTTGATCTTGGACTTCCAGCCTCCAAAACTGTGAGACATAAATGTCTATTATTTAAGCCACTGGCCTGTGGTGTTTTGTTATAGAAGGCTGAGCTGACCAATAAAATCTGTCCAGGCTGGTCTGTGCACCATCACATCTGGTTTAGAACCATGTCTGTCTGCCTCTGTGCTGGACTCCACACAGTGGCACAACTGGCCACCAGTTATAAGGATTATCCCTCTCCACCCAAGTCCCCTTCTCCCACCTGCAAGACCTCTCCAGGATTGCTGATTTTCCACATCACATCCCACCTCCTCGGTCACCTAGGGGAACCTGGGCTCCTTCCTTCTCCATCAGGAGTGAGTCCATAGACATGACACCAAAAGCACAATCTATAGAAGAAAACAATCAATCAATTGGACTTCACCAAAATCTAAAACTTTTGCTTATAAAAGTCCCTGCTAAGAGGATGAAAACATAAGCTACAAACCAGAAGAAAATATTTGCCAACCGTGTACCTAACAAGAGACTTCTATCTAGAAACTATAAAGAACCCTCTAGGCCGGGCGTAGTGGCTCACACCTGTAATCCCAGCATCTTGGGAGGCCGAGGTGGGCGGATCACCTCAGGTCAGGAGTTCGAGACCAGCCTGGCCAACATGGTGAAACCCTGTCTCTACTTAAAAAAAAAAAAAAAAATTAGCCAGGCATGGTGGCGTGCACCTGTAACCCCAGCTACTTGGGAGGCTGAGGCAGGAGAATCACTTGAAATCGGGAGGTGGAGGTTGCAGTGAGCTGAGTTCATGCCATTGCACTCCAGCCTGGGCAAAAAGAGTGAAACTCCATCTCAAAAAAAAAAAATCTCTAAATTCAACTGTAAATAAACAATCTGATTAGTAAATAGGCAACAGACATGAACAGATATTTCACCAGAGGGGATAGGCAGATGGCAAATAAGGACTTGAAAATATGGTGAATCTTATTAGCTGTTAGGGAAATGCAAATTCAAACCACAATGAAAAATATCACTACCCACCTGTTAGAACCACTAAAATAAAAAGCAGTGACAATAGCAAAAGCTGGCAGCTTTTTGTAAAAAGCTGAATCTCTCAGAATTGAGGGTGGAAATGTAAAATGGCACAGCTATTTTGGAAAATAGTTTGGCAGTTTCTTTAAGAGAAAAAAATCCTAAAAATTAAACATATGCTTACTATATGACCCAGGTATCCCAGTCGTAGGCATTTATCCCAGTACTAGGCATTTATCCCAGAGAAATAAAAACATGTCTACATAAAAACTTGCATGTAATTTTTTTTTCTGAAACAGAGTCTTGCTCTGTTGCCCAGGCTGGAGTGCAGTGGTGCAATCACAGCTCACTGCAGGCTTGACCTCCAAGGTTCAAGTAATCCTGCCTCAGCCTCCCAAGTTGCTGGGACCACAATCACAAGTCACCACGCCCGGCTAACTTTTTTGTTACTTGTAGAGATGAGGTCTCCCTCTGTTGCCCAGGCTGGTCTCAAACCCCTGGACTCAAACAATCCTCCTCCCTTGGCCTCCCAAAGTACTGGATTACAGGTGTGAGACAACGCACCTCTCCTGTTCATAAATATTTATAGGAGCTTTATTTGTAATAGCCTCAAATTTGAAACAACTGAAATGTTCTTCAGTAGGTAAATGGTTAAACAAACTGTAGTACATTGAACACATGGACTACTACACAGCATTAAAAAAGAAAAAAACATCAATGTGTGCAGCAACCTGAATGCATCTCAAGGGCATTATGCTGAGTGAAAAAGCCAATCCGCCTGGCATGGTGGCTCATGCCTGTAATCCTAGCACTTTGGGAGGCCGAGGTGGGTGGATCATGAAGTCAGGAGTTCGAGACCAGATTGGCCAAGAGATCAGCCTGGCTAATATGGTGAAACCCCATCTCTACTAAAAACATAAAAAATTAGCCAGGCATGGTGGCAGGTGCCTGTAATCCCAGCTACTCAGGAGGCTGAGGCAGGAGAATTGCTTGAACCCAGGAGGCAGGGGTTGCAGTGAGCCAAAGATTGAACCATTGCACTCAAGCCTGGGCAGCAGAGCAAGACTCCAACGCAAAAAAAAAAAAAAAGAAAAAGAAAAAGAAAAAAAAAAAAAGCCAGTCCCAGAAGGTTATCTACTGCAGGATTCCATTTGTATACCATTCTCGAAATGACAAAATTATAGAAATAAGAGTAGTGTTAGCCAGAGAGGGGGAAGGGAGGGAGGGTTGGCGAAGCTATCAAAGGGAATTTGCATGAAGGAGATCGCTGAGATGATGAAATGTTGCTTGACTGTGGTGTTGGATACACAAAATTACACATGTGATAAGATGACATAGAACTACACCTCCCTCCGCGCGCGCGCGCACACACACACACACACACACACACACACACACACACGCAGGAGAGCACCAGAGGCTGCTGAAGCCTGAGTAAGTTTGCGGATTGTACAATGCCAATCTCTCTGATTTTCATATTGTGCTATAGTTGTGCAAGATGTTACCGGGGAAACTGAGTAAATGGTAGAGGGAACCTCTATGGACTACTCTTGCCACTTCCTATGTATCTAGAATCATCTCAAAATAAAATTTTTAAAAAGTAAAGTTTTTCATATCTACATCTTTGTGGAAGATGGGAGTCTATGTGGAGGTGGGGCAGGGAGGGGACAGAAAGGTCTTTACCTGCTGTGCCTGATATTTTTGGCAGCCATGTGTGTTGTCCAAAGGCCATCCGTCTGCTGGAGAATTTCCTCTTGCTCTGGGGAGTTCAGTCTTTGTCTGATTCAGGACTTCAACTGATGGGATGAGGCCCACCCACATTATGAAGGAAAATCTGCTTTCCTCAAATCTCATTTCAATGTAAATCACACCCAAAAACCAGCCTCACAGAAACAGAATACTGTTTGACCAAATATCTGGGTACTGTGGCCCAGTCAAGTTGACCCATAAAATTAACTATCTCACCCCCAGTGCTGGGTTGTGTCTGTTCTTTCCCAGTCCTCACCTTCCTCTCTTTCTCAACAGAACATGTCTGGTGTATTAGTCCATTCTCACACTGCTATAAAGATATACCTGAGACTGGGTAATTTATAAAGAAAAGAGATTTAATTGGCTCACAGTCTCAGCCTGTACAGGAAGCATGGTGCTAACATCTGCTTGGCTTCTAAGGAGCCTCCAGGAAACTTAAAACCATGGCGGCAGGCAAAGGGGGAGCAGGTGCGTCACATGGCCAGAGCAGGAGCTAGGACAGTACCAAGGGGATGGGACTAAACCATTCATGAGAAATCCACCCCCATGATCCAATCACCTCCCACAAGGCCCTACCTCCAACACTGAGGATTACATTTCAACATGAGATTTGGGTGGGGAAACAAATCGAAAACATATCACCTGGTAAAAGGGAGGAGGACTCGGAGTGAGGAGACCAAAAAGAAGAGACCCACCCACCCCCACTGAGGGCTCCCAGCCTAATGCTGGTCAGTGTATAAGCCAAGGACTCTGGGAACCACAATGCTTCTTCTGAATTCTGTGTTAAATTTCTCCATTCTCAGTAGAGCTGGTGGCTGCACTGCATTGTGAAGGTATTAAATGCCACTGAATCATTCACTTTAAAATGAGTAACTTGTTGCCTGGGCGCTGTGACTCATGCCTGTAATCCCAGCACTTTGGGAGGCCAAGGCAGGCAGATCACCTGAGGTCAGGAGTTCGAGGCCAACCTGGACAACATATAGTGAAACCCCGTCTCTACTTTAAAAAAAAAAAAAAATTAGCTGGGCGTGGTGGCAGGCACCTGTAATCCCAGCTATTCTGGAGGCGAGGCAGGAGAATCATTTGAACCTGGGAAGCAGAAGTTGCAGTGAGCTGAGATAGTGCCACTGCATCCCAGCCTGGGTGACAGCAAGACCTGTCTCAAAAAAAAAAAAATCATACTTTTAAAATAAAAAATGAAAATAAATAAAATGGCTAACTTGATGTTATATAAATTTTGCCTCAATGTTTAAAAAGTATTTTTAAAAACAAAAGAAAAACCCATCTCTCATACTTCAATAGTGCTAATACAGTGAACTGACACAGTAATTCGGAATTTAAAATTTGCAACAATTGCAAGTAGGCTGGGATGGAGATATAGAGAAAAATGGAAAATAATAGAATAGTGTGTTTTCTGAGACAATCTGATGGTTGAGCTCCACAGTGGCAGCCCGTCTAATAGGGGCTTGCAGCAGCAAATAATGAGCTTCAATGGCATGAACATTCTTTAAATGAGGACAGTTCTTTTGTGGAATGAAATCTTCAAAGCAGTTCAAGATTTTTTAATTTATTGAAGATATTTGTCCCTGCAATTCCCAGATGCAAATGTGTTATTCTACTAAAATATCTTAAATGTCTTGTTGATGATGTTAATTCCTAAGATGTAGAGAAACCCTAAAAGAGGTCTACATGGCTGCATCCAGGGACTTTAATTGAAATTAAATGCGTACATCAATTAAGTCCACAATGCACAATAAAGGCAGCGAGAGTTTGCATGCTAATGATAGCAAACACTTCTATTTTGCTTACGTCTGCAAGGCATCATTCTAAGTGCTTTACTAACATTAACTCATTTAATCCTCTCAACAACCGTACAAGGTAGAGGCTGTGATTATCCTGACTTTACAGATCAGCAGAGACAATGAGAGGTTAAGAACTTGCCCAACCTCACATGGCTAATAAGTGGCAGACTAAGGTAGGCTTACTTTGTTTTTCTTCTTCTTCCCAAAATACTATTTAAGCCCTACGAATTTAAGCCTATGTGTGCGTGTGTGTGTACATCCATGCATTTGTTTAATGTCAGGTTTCAGAATTTGTGACATGACACAATCTTTTTCAATGTGGCCGTGTTCCAAAAATAAAAAAGATCCCAGTGGGCGTGTTGGCTCATGCCTGTAATTCCAGTGCTTTGGGAGGATCACTTGAGCCCAGGAGTTCAAGACCAGCCTGGGCAACAAAATGAGGCCCTATCTATACAAAAAAAAATTAGCTTAACACGGTGGTGCATGTCTGTAGTCCTAGTTATTTGGGAGGCTGAGGTGAGAGGATTTCCTGAGCACAGGAGACTGAGGTTGCAGTGAGCCAAGGTCTTGCCACTGAACTCCAGCCTGGGCAACAGAGAAAGAAAAGAAAGAAAAGAAAGAAAAGAAAGAAAGAAAGAAAGAAAGAAAGAAAGAAAGAAAGAAAGAAAGAAAGAAAGGAAGGAAGGAAGGAAGGAAGGAAGAAAAGAAGGTAGGAAGGAAGGTAGGAAGGAAGAAAAGAAAGAAAGAAAGAAAGGAAGAAAGAAAGAAAGAAAGAAAGAAAGAAATAAAGAAAGAAAGAAAGAGGGAGGGAGGGAGGGAAAGAAAGAAAGAAAGAGAGAGGAAAGAAAGAAAGAGAGGAAAGAAAGGAAAAGAAAGAAAGAAAGAAAGAGAGAGAAGAAGGAAGGAAGGGAAAGAAAAGAAAAGAAGGAAGGAAAGAAAGAAAGAAATTAAGAAAGGAAGGAAGGAAAGAAAGAGAGACAGAAAGAAAGAAAGAAAGACAGAAGGGAGGGAGGGAGGGAAGAAGGAAGGAAGGAAGGAAGGAAGGAAGGAAGTAAGGAAGGAAGGAAGGAAGGAAGGAAGGAAGGAAGGAAGGAAGGAAGGAAGGAATCCCCAGGGACTATTATGAATATCTCCATGCACACAAACTGGAAATTTTTGAAGAAATTGATAAATTCCTGGAAACACACAACCTTCCAAAACTGGATCAGGAATTGAAACCCTGAACAGACCAAGATCAAGCTCCCAAATTGAATCTGTAGTAAGAAACCTACCAACAAAAAGGAGCCCTGAACCTGATGGACTCACAGCTGAATTCTGCCAGACATAGAAGAATTCTACAAAGAGCTGGTACCTATTCTTATTCTACTGAAACTATTTTAAAACACATTCTACATAGCCAGCATCATTCTCATACCAAAATCTGGCAAAGACACACACAAAAAAGAAAACTATAGGCAGATATCCCTGATGAACATAGATTCAAAAATCCTCCACAAAATGCTAGTGAACCAAATCCAACAGCACATCAAAAAGTTAATTCACCACGATCAAGTATGGTTTATTCCTGGAATGCAGGGTTGGTTCAACATGTGGAAATTAATAAATGTCATTCACCATACAAAAAAAATTAAAAACAAAAACCATATGATTATCTGTATAGATGCAGAAAAAGCTTTCAATAAAATCCAGCATCTCCTCATGATTAAAAGCCCTCAACAACCTAGGCATTGAAGGAACATACCTCAATAATAAGAGCCATCTATGACAAACCCACAACCAACATCATGCTGCATGGGTAAAACCTGGAAACATTCCCCTTGAGAACTTGAACAACACAAGGATACCCACTCTCACCACTCCTATTCAACATAGTACTGGACGTCCTAGCCAGAGCAATAAGGCAAGAGAAATAAATTAAAGACATCAAAATAGGAAAAGAAGTCAAATGATTTTTCTTTGCCGATGATACAATTCTATACCTAGAAAATGCTCACAACTCCACCAAAAGGCTCCTAGAACTGATAAGCAACTTCAGTAAAGTTGCAGGATACAAAATCAGTGTACAAAAATCAGTAGCACTTCTATACACCAATACTCCAGCTGACAGCCAAAGCAAGAACACGTCCCATTTACAGTAGCCACACACACACACACACAAACACACACACAAAATACCTAGGAATACATTTAATCAAGGAGGTGAAAGATGTCTACAAGGAGAACTACAAAACACTGCTGAAAGAAATCGTAGATGATATTAAAAAATGGAAAACCATTCCATGCTCATGGATTGGAAGAATCAATATCATTAAAATGCCATACTGCCCAAAGCAAGATAGAGTCAACACTATTCCTAAGAAACTACCAAGATCATTTCTCACTGAAATAGAAAAAAGTATTCTAAAATTCATATGGAACCAAAAAAGAGTCTAAATAGCCAAGGCCACCCTAAGCAAAACAAAGCTGGAGGCATCACATTACCCAACTTCAAACTATACTACAGGGCTACAGTAACCAAACAGCACAGTGCTGGTATAAAAATAGACAAATAGACCAGTGGAACAGAATAGGGAACACAGAGATAAAGCTATGCACCTACAACTGCCTGATCTTTGACAGAGCTGACAAAAACAAGCAATGAGGAAAAAAACTCCCTATTTAACAAATGGTAATGAGATAACTGGCTAGTCACATGCAGAAGATTGAAACTGGACCCTTACCTTTCACCATACACAAAAATTAACTCTAGATGAATTAAAGACTTAAATGTATGACCACAAATTATTAAAATCCCAGAAGAAAACCTAGGGAATATTATTCTGGACATCAGCGTTGTCAAACAATTTATGACTAAGTCCTCAGAAGCAATTCAGTGAAAACAAAAAATGACATTGGGACCTAGTTAAACTAAAGAGCTTCCACACAGCAAAATAAACGATCAACAGAGTAAACAGGCTATCAACAGAGTGAACAGACAAGCTACAGAACGAGAGGGAATATTCACAAACTGTGCATCTGACAAAGGGCTAATATCTGGAATCTATAAGGAACAATTAAACAAGCAAAAATCAAATAACCCCATTTAAAAGTGGGAAAAGGACATGAACAAATACTTCTCAGAAGAAGATATACAAGCAGCCAACAAACATGAAAAACAGGCTCAACATCACTGATCTTTAGAGAGACGCAAATTAAAACCACAATGAGATACCGCCTCACACCAGTCAGAATGACTTTTGATAAAAAGTCCAAAAATTACAGATGTTGGTGAGGTTGTGGAGAAAAGGGAACACGTATACACTATTGGCAGAAATGTAAATTAGTTCAGCCACTGTGGAAAGCATTTTGGAGATTTCTCAAAGAGCTTTAAATAGAACCTCCATTCAGCCCAGCAATCCCATTACTAGGTATATATCCAAAATAAATCGTTCTACCAAAAAGACATATGCACTTGTATGTTTATCAAAGTGTTATTCAGAGAAGCAAAGACAGAATCAACCTAGGTACCCATCAGTGGTGGATTGGATAAAGAAAATGTGGTACATACACCCCATGGAATACTACACAGCCATAAAAAAGAAAGAAATCATGTTCTTTGCAGCAACGTGGATAGAGCTGGAGGCCATTATCCTAAGCAAACTAACACAGGAACAGAAAACCAAATATCACATGTTCTCACTTATAAGTGGGAGCTAAACATTGAGGACACAATAGACATGGGGGACTACTAGAGGCAGGAGGGAAGGAGGGGAACTAGGACCCAAAACTACCTATGCTCAGTACCTTGGTGATGGGATCACTCAAACACCAAACGTCAGCATCACACAATATATCCAGGTAACAAACCTGCACATGTACCCACTGAAGCTAAAATAAAAGTTGAAATTAAAAAATAAAACAATGCATCTCTGTCCCTAATAATGCATATGCCAATTCTGTCTAAATGGAGCCATACAATTTAAATTCCTAATAAAGTCCATTAAATCTTCCTGCCCTTCTCTAGCTCCCCTCTGTTCCTCAGTTTATGCTCCCTCACTCTTAAAACTCCCCCCTGGCCAGGCATGGAGGCTCACACCTGTAATCCCAGCACTTTGGGAGGCCAAGGCGGGTGGATCACCTGAGGTCAGGAGTTCGAGACCACCCTGGCCAACATGGTGAAACCCCAACTCTACTAAAAATATAAAAATTAGCTGGGCATGGTGGCACACACCTGTAATCCCAGCTACTCAGGAGGCTCAGGCGGAGGTTGCAGTGAGCCGAGATCCCTCCACCACACTCCAGCCTGGGTGACAGAGCGAGACTCCATCTAAAACAAAACAAAACAAAACAAAAAACTTCCCTCCCATCCAATCTTGGCTTCTTGCTGCTTTTCAGCCATCTCTTTTGCTTTGTGCACTGCCAAAGTCTAAAACTAAAGCTTTTAACAAAAAGCTATCACAATGACCTCCTAACTAGTTTCTCTTCTGATTTTTCTCCTCTCTAATCTTTTTACGATATCACTAGGATTGTCTTCTTGCTCTTAAAAACAAATCAAAAACCACTTGAAATAGGTAATATTAAGGAAATATGATTCATTATGTAAGCTGTAATAATGGTGTTGTGGTTACATAAAAAGATATTCTCAGTTGAGGCTACATCTTGAGTGTTTATAAGTGCAATGATTCAATATCTGGAATTTACTTTAACATACTTCAGGAAAAGCTGGGCACCCAGGCTCACACATATAGACCCAGGTCCTAGAGAGGTGGAGGCAGGAGGACTGCTTGAGGCCAGGAGTTGGAGACCAGCCTGGACAACATAGCAAGACCCTGTCTCAACAGCAACAAAAATTTAGCCAGGTGTGGTGATGTGCACCTGTAGTCCCAGCTACTCAGGAGGCTGAGGCAGGAGGATCACTGGAGCCCAGGAATTTGAGGCTGCAGTGAGCTATGATCATGCCACTACACTCCAGTCTAGGTGACACAGCAAGATCCCGTCTCTAAAACAATTAATGATTAAAAATTTTAAAAATTAAAAATAATCCAGGAAATAAAAAGTAGGAGGAATAAATGAAAAAAAAAGTTTTCAAATGTTTAAGATGATTGAAGTGGTCATTATGGAGACATACTTTCAGTCATATCTTCCCATGAGTCTCCACACTTCAGTCATTCCAGCCTTCTGCAGACCTTACGAAAGTGCCCACATGGCCCGGCCTGGGAGCCTTTGCTCATACTGCTCCCATTGAAAACGCTTCCTGGCACCTCCACTCACTGAACCCTGCCCATTTTTGCAAGCTCTACTCAAACACTATTTCCTCCTTTCCAGATTGTCACAGTCATTTGTATCAGTACCATCACCCTTTGCATTTCTGCATGGTTAGTTAACTGTGTGATCCTTCTGCCCTATGAAATTCCTAGATCCTGTAAGACAGGAGCCACGCCTTAGCCGCTCTCATAGTCCTTTGATCTGTCCACAGTGATCAATGTCCTGTCTAGCACATAATAGGTACTTGACACATTTTTGTTCCATTGAACCCTACAGTGAATGAGTTCCTTTGTAAAGTGAAGAGCCACGTCATAACAAACAATTATAATGATGACTGACACTTGTATAGCTCTTAACTGTGTTCAAGGCTATATTTGAAATGCTTTACAAAGACTGACTCTTTACAATAACCCTATGAGATAGGTATGATTATTCCCGTTTTACGGACAAGGAAACTGATGCCCAGAGAGATGCAGCAATGTGCCCAAGGTCATAGCTAATAAATAATACAAACTCAGTCTGTCTGGCCTCAAAGACTGTACTCTTAACCACAGTGTACACTGTCTCACCTGCCGTACAGTGTAACAACGTGCACTGCCTGCAGAAATATTCGGTACATACCGATTGGTTGATTGGCTGCTTAGTTTCCTGTAATAAGTATCTACATCTTCTGTTTTGTAAGTGCCGTTTCTGAATAACACCTTATAAATGAATTACCCTTAAATATTCATTCTGTGTGCACATTTTGTATCAGAATCAATCTATAATAACAGTTACACGACTATGTTTTTGGAAAGGAAAAACTACTTCATTGCCTCTAGTGATATTGGGTGTGTATTTATTTAATACCACTGCAATAAAGCCCCCGTATTGTATTATTATTCTAGTACGACGTAGTCCTTTACATCCGCCGACTGCATATTTCATCAGCCCGCAGCGTGAGGCGCTGTTTTACCTTCAAGTTCCTGGTCCCTGGCTTAGCTCAAGTCACTTCCATCAGCTGGAAACAGGCGAGCACCTCACGCCATCTAGCGGAGACACACTTTGAAGACCGCTTCAAGGGATTTGCTTAATTATGGGAGTCTCATAGGGGCACCATCCAACAGCCACATGAAAGTAACAACAGACACTGAGTAAAACCAGAATGTTTCCCCCAATAAGTGGCTGCTCTAAAATTATTTTCCCAAACTCTCCCAGGTTGCTGCCCCTTGTTCCTGAGTCCACACAGCAGCTTCCTACGGAAAACACCCTCTGTGATTCTAGAAGAGCGCACTCTCCTCATCCATTGACCACAAAGACTTACTTTCTACACGATGTGAGGAAGGAAAACACCCTCTGTGATTCTAGAAGAGCGCACTCTCCTCATCCATTGACCACAAAGACTTACTTTCTACACGATGTGAGGAAGGGGCTCCCGGCAGAGTCAGGGTCACTGCCTGGTGCCTCCGGAGAGGCTGCAAGTTGTCATGGAAAGCACAAATGTCTGTGGGATCTAACAAAACTGAAGAGCTTCTGCACAGCAAAAGAAACTATCATCAGAGTGAACAGACAGCCTGCAGAATGGGAGAAAAATTTTGCAATCTATCCATCTGACAAATATCTAACATTCAACAACTACAAGGTACTTAAACAAATTTACAAGAAAAAAAACTCCATTAAAAAGTGGGCAAAGGACATGAACAGACACTTCTTAAAAAAAGACATACATGCGGTCAACAAACATATGAAAAAAGCTCAACATCACTGACGATTAGATAAATGCAAATCAAAACCACAATGAGATATCATCTCACACCAGTCAGAATGGCAATTATTAAAAAGTCAAAAAAACGGCAGGGCACAGTGGCTCACACCTTTAATCCTAGCATTTTGGGAGGCTTAGGCAGGAGGATCATTTGAGGTCAGGAGTTCGAGACCAGCCTGAGCAACATAGTGAAACCCACTCTCTACTAAAAATACAAAAATTAGTCGGGCCTGGTGGCACATGCCTGTAATCCCAGCTACTTGGGAGTCTGAGGCTGAGGCACTCCCAACTGGGTGACAGAGTTAGACTCTGTCTCAAAAAGAAAAAAAGAAAAAAACTCAAAAAAACGACAGATGCTGTTGAGGTTGTGGAGAAAAAGGAAAGCTTTTACACTGCTGGTGGGAGTGTAAATTAGTTCAACCACTGTAGAAGACAGTGTGACGATTCCTCAAAGACCTGGAGGCAGAAATACCATTTGACCCAGCAGTCCCATTACTTGGTATATACCCAAAGGAATATAAATAATTCTATTATAAAGAAACATGCACGTGTATGTTCATTGCAGCACTATTCACAATAGCAAAGACATGGAATCAACCTAAATACCCATCAATGATAGGCTAGATAAAGAAAGTATGGTACATATACACCATGGAATACTATGCAGCCATAAAAAGGAACAAAATCATGTCCTTTGCAGGGATGTGGATGGAACTGGAGGCCATTGTCCTCAGCAAACTAACGCAGGAACGGAAAACCAAATGCTGCATGTTCTCACTCATAAGTAGGAGCTGAATGATGAGAACACATGGACACATGGCCGGGAGAACAACACACACACGGGTCTGTTGGAGGGTGGGGGATGGGAGGAGGGAGCACATCAGGAAGAATAGCTAATGGATGCTGGGCTTAATACCTAGGTGATGGGATGATCTGTATAGTAAACCACTATGGCACATGTTTACTTACGTAACAAACCTGCACATCCTGCACATGTACCCCTGAACTTAAAATAAAAGTTGAAAAAAAAGAAAGTATAAATATGTGATGCATAGTGACCCTTCCTCAGCTAAAGCCACTCACCTTTGTTATCTATGCAAATGCTATTTGAATGTGCTAATCTGAGCTTGGCAGCAAGTTCAAGGGCCTCCCCAAGATTCTTGCAATTTCTGGGGCTTATTCTAATGGTCACTTTGACTTTCTTTCATGTTCAACTCCCAACCTCAGCACTCTCCTTCAGTGGCTGCTGTTATCCTATACCAAGATCTGGTTTCCTTCTACTTCCAGGCACAGGGAAGATTGCAATCCCCCACCCTCTTGAAATTAAGCATGGCCATGCGCCTTGTGGTGGCCAATGAACTACAAATGAAAACGCCATGCAACACTTCCAGGTAGAAGCATTCAACCCATGTGCTCCTCCATGTTTCCCTGCTCCCTGCCACATGCCTTGCCTCTTTCAGCCTGGGCCACTGGAGTGAGGGCCACACAGAGCAGAGCCCTTGGCCCAACAAAAATGGATAAGGAGTATGTCCAAGAAAAAGCAAGCTTTTGTTGTTTAAGCCACTGAGATTTGGGGATTGTTTGTTACCAGGACATAGCCTAGCCTATGCTGACTAATACACTTCCCAAAGTAATTCTCTCTGTGTGTGTCTTGCCTGCACAGATAGAGCCATGGAATATGACTCTCTTGTTTTTTAATTCTCCAAAATACTACTCACTAAAGACATCTTGGAATATAGGAAGCATTTTTTAATTAGGCATTATTCATTCTTGCTTTTAAAGATTTTTTTGCCCACCATTCTCATTGCCAAAACAACCCTTCCACACTCCTTTTGTCTCTTCTACCCTCAACTCCTACAGCACACAAAACATTTTAGCAATTCCTTTGTCTTTTTGTCTCCTCTTGAACCAATTGTTCTCAACTGTGTCAGATCTAATGTCCTGTTTTTTATAATAAATATTTTGACACTACCTCTGCTACCCCAAAAATAAAATTAATAGATAATGTACCTTATCTAGACACATGATTTTAAAAATTGAATATAAATTTTTAATTGTAATATAAAGGAGGACATGTCCATAATAAAATATGATTTTTAATAGTCACATACTTGGGCATAACCACAGGAGAAGACATTATGAAGGAGTCGGATGGTTACCAACAAATACGGATCACCATGCCTGCAACACTACAAATTCAGACTAACAGAGATATGGGGTATGGGTTACTCATGTACCCTAAGAGCAACAGTGGCAACTGTGATGTTACTTTTTTCAAGTGGTGAACATTTCTTGATTCAAAGTACAATTAACCTTGATTTACTCAGTCTTTGCATTCCCTCAAAATTCAATGTATATGCTATAGATTGCATGTTTGTGTCTTCCCAAAATTCCCATGTTGAAACCTTACTCCCAGTGGAATGATACTAGATGGGGTTTTGGAAAGGTGATTATGTTTAGGTGAGTTCAGGAGGATTAAATCCTCATGATGGGATTACTGTAATCCCAGCACCTTGGGAGGCTGAGGCAGGCAGATCACGAGGTCAGGAGATCGAGACCATCCCGGCTAACACAGTGAAACCCCATCTCCACTAAAAATACAAAAAAATTAGCCGAGCTTGGTGACAGGCACCTGTAGTCCCAGCTACTCGGGAGGCTGAAGCAGGAGAATGGCATGAACCCGGGAGGCGGAGCTTCCTGTGAGCAGAGATTGCACCATTGCACTCCAGCCTGGGTGACAGAGCAAGACTCCATCTCAAAAAAAAAAAGAAGAAGAAAAAGAAAAAGACACTAGCTCTTGCTTTCTCCACCATGTGAGGATGCAACCAGCAGGCAGCCATCTGCAAGCTGGGAAGGGAGCCCCCACCAGATCCCAGATCTGCCAGCACTTTGATCTTGGACTTCCCAGCCTCCAGAGCTGTGAGCAATAAATGTTTGTTGTTTAAACCACTCAGTTTGTGGTATTTTTGTTATAGCAGCCCACCCTAAGATAGTATATTAAAACATTTCAAAAATATTATGTGAAACAGAATTAGGTTATAGGACCAAAGAATTTTTAACCTGCCTTTCACTTACACTTACACAATATCTGGCAAGGCACTTGTATTAGTCTGTTTTCACACTGCTGATAAAGACATACATGAGACTGGGCAATTTGCTAAAGAAAGAGGTTTAATTGGGTTTACAGTTTCATGTGGCTGGGAAAGCCCCACAATCATGGTGAAAAGGAAGGAGGAGCAAGTCACATCTTACGTGGATGGTGGCAGGCAAAAGACGAGAGCAATTGTGCAGGGAAATTCCCCTTTTTAAAACCATCAGATCTCATGAGACTTATTCACTATCACAAGAACAGCATGGGAAGGACCTGCCCCCATGATTCAATTACCTCCCACTAGGTTCCTCCCACAACACATAGGAATTCAAGATGAGATTTGGGTGGGGACACAGAGCCAAACCATATCATTCCACCCCTGGCCTCTCCCAAATCTCATATCTTCACATTTCAATACCAATCATGCCTTCCCAGCAGTCCCCCAAAGTCTCAACTCACTTCTGCATCAACTCAAAAGTCCACAGTCCAAAGTCCCATCTGGGACAAGGCAAGTACCGCCTGCCTATGAGCCTGTAAAATCAAAAGCAAGTTAGTTATTTCCTAGATACAATGCAGGTATATGCATTGAGTAAATATAGCCATTCCAAATGGGAGAAATTAGCCAAACAAAGGCACTACAGGCCCCATGCAAATCCAAAATCCAGCAATGCAGTCAAATCTTAAAGTTCCAAAATGATCTCCTTTGACTCCATGTCATGCATCTGAGTAACGTTTATGCAAGAGGTGGGTTCCCATGGCCTTGGGCAGCTCCATCCCCGTGGCTTTGCAGGGTACAGCCACCCTCCCAGCTGCTTTCATGGGCTGGTGTTGAGTGTCTGCGGCTTTTCCAGGCACACAGTGCAAGCTGTAGGTGGGTCTACCATTCTAGGGTCTGGAGGACTGTGGCCCTCTTCTCAACAGCTCCACTAGGTGGATACCCAGTAGGCACCTCCCATCCCACATTTCCCTGTCTTATTGCCCTTGCAGAGGTTCTCCACAAGGACAACACACCTACAGCAAACTTCTGCCTGGGCATCCGGGCATTTCCACACATCTTCTGAAATCTAGAGGGAGGTTCCCAAACATCAATTCTTGACTTCTGTGCACTTGCAGGCTCAACACTATGTGGAAGCTGCCAAGGCTTGGGGCTTGCACCCTCTGAAGCCATGGCCTAAGCTCTAGATTAGCCCCTTTCAGCCACAGCTGGAGTGGCTGGGACACAGAGCACCAAGTCCCTAGGCTGCACACAGCATGGGGACCCTGGGCCTGGCCCACAAAACCATTTTTTCCTCTTAGGCCTCTAGGCCTGTGATGGAAGAGGCTGCTGTGAAGACCTCTGACCTGCCCTGGAAACATTTTCCACATTGTCTTGGGGATTAACATTAGGCTTCTTGTTACTTATGCAAATTTCTGCAGCCAGCTTGAATTTTTCCCCAGAAAGTGGAATTTCCTTTTCTATTGCATTGTCAGACTGCAAATTTTCCAGACTTTTATGCTCTACTTCCCTTATAAAACTTAATGCTTTTAACAGCATCCAAGTCACCTCTTGAATGCTTTGCTGCTTAGAAATTTCTTCTGCCAGATAGCCTAAATCATCTCTCTCAAGTTCAAAGTTCCACAAATCTCTAGGGCAGGGGCAAAATGCCACCAGTCTTTTTGCTAAAATATAGCAAGAGTCACTTTTGCTCAAGTTCCCAACAACTTCCTCATTTCCATCTGAGACCACCTCAACCTGGGCTTTATTGTCCATATAGCTACAGCATTTTGGTTGAAAGCCATTCAACAAGTCTCTAGAAAGTTCCAAACTTTCCCACATTTTCCTGTCTTCTTCTGAGCCCCTCAAACTCTTCCAACCTCTGCCTGTTACCCAGTTTCAAAGTCACTTCTACTTTTTCGGGTATCTTTTCAGCAGCATACCACTTCTGGTACCAATTTGCTGTATTAGTCCATTTTCATGCTGCTGATAAAGATATACCAGACTGAGACTGAGCAATTTACAAAAGAAAGAGGTTTAATTGGACTTACAGTTTCATGTAGCTGGAAGCCTCACAATCATGGTGGAAGACAAGGAGGAGCAAGTCACATCTTACATGGATGGCAGCAGGCAAGAAATGAGCTTGTGAAGGGAAACTTCCCTTTTTAAAACCATCAGATAGTGTGAGACTTACTCACTATCATGAGGACAGCACAGGAAAGATCTGCCCCCATCATTCAATTACCTCCCACTGGGTTCCTCCCACAACAGGTGGGAATTCAAGATGAGATGTGGGTGGGGACACAGCCAAGCCACATCAGCACTCATATGTTTTGTGTTACTAAAGACAATTCTTTATTTTTAAGTCTTGTCCTGTGCATAGCAGGACATTTAGCATTCTTGACTTCACTCACCAAATGCTATCAGTCTTTCAATCATCATAGCAACCAAAAAAATAACCCCATAAATTTCCCAAATGAACCCTGGTGGAAGTTCACCTCATGGTTCTAAAATATTCCAAAGTGGAACTCATCTTTTATCACAAATCAAGGGTGTATGTGTGTTTATTTTTACTTTTGTATTTATACATGCACACACACACTCACATGCACAGGTTAAGTTCTCACTTTGTGTTATGGTGCTGTAAACATCATCATTGAGGCAGATGTTGTGCAAACTAATTTTAATCAACAGGATAAATTACAATTATAAACTGATCTTTAAATCGTTTTCAAAATATTAAAAGCTTTGTTCCTGTCAGTTATAAATGCATAGAAAATTTTTTAAATGATAAAACTATTTAAAAAACCATATATTAAAATATTAAGAATTAAAGTACTTTATATATTTGTTTAAAAACTTATTCATAGTAGTTTGAGAAGGGCTCATTTTCTTCTCGTTGTACAATTTTGGATCCTAAGTGAGCAACTTGTTTATGCCTCAAGAAATTGTCCTACCCCTTTCTAAGTTTGAATCCACTTCCAGTGTGTGTGTGTGTGTGTGTGTGTGTGTGTGTGTGTGTGTGTTTTCAGTGGTCAAATATCTTCAGAACTTTTTTACAATGTGTTTTTTGCTGGTGTTCTTTGGCTTGCTTTCTCCAAGACATCATACTTTTCATCACAACCACTTTCGTTATTTCTGTCAGTAAATTCACCTTCTCAAAGTCTCTCTGGCTGCACACCTAGAGTCTTGAAGTGGGGGCAGGGTAGGGGCAATGTCAACCTTCCCCTGGTCAGCTATTTCTTCTATAACTACATTTATGATCAAACTCAAATTTTACTCCCAGCATTGTCAGTTTTCTTAGGGACTTTCATTTTTATTAGCCATTCTCTCTTTCAGTTATCCATTTTTGTAAAGTGTCACATGAGTTTATCACTGGGAGATAAGGAAGAAGCACAAGTACATACTTTGCTGTCTGTGCATGAACCCAAGAACAGATGTGCAGTGACCAAGACTGGGAAAAGAATGAGAAGCTGTGAGGCCATTGGTCACCAATCATGCTTCTATGCAAATAGCAGATGCATCATCGGCATCTGCTATTCACACAGTGATTTTTGGATGAGAGGGCTGGTAGCCAAGTGTGTGCTCTGTGCAATTCCTCACATGGACATGCTACAGTAATTGAAACTTAAACCATGTTGTTGGTGGACTAGTGTCATTTAACTAAATCGTAGTAACGTAAATCCATGCATGGCAAACAAGGACTGCTGCGATATAATATTCTATATACAGAATTGGATTTTCTGGAGAGATGATATACCCCTTCCTTAAAGACAAAAGCAGCTTCAATCAGTTGTGATTTCAAGCATGATATTTTTTTCTTGTCTATATAGACACAGAGTAATACTCAAGAAATAGGAGCCCACTGTGCAGATAAATTGACAACCTAGTTTGTTTTTTGTTTTTTTTTTTTTTGAGACAGAATCTTGCTCTGTCGTCCAGGCTGGAGTGCAGTGGCACCACCTTGGCTCACTGCAAGCTCCGCCTCCCAGGTTCACGCCATTCTCCTGCCTCAGCCTCCTGAGTAGCTGGGACTACAGGTGCCCGCCATCATGCCTGGCTAATTTTTTGTATTTTTAGTAGAGATGGGGTTTCACCGTGTTAGCCAGGATGGTCTCAATCTCCTGACCTCATGATCCACCCACCTTGGCCTCCCAAAGTGCTGGGATTACAGGCTTGAGCCACCGCACCCGGCCAACAACCTAGTTTCTATCTAGAAGAAACAAATTATGGTAAGTTTGTTTATATAGATCAGGTCCTATATAAAAAATAATGCCATACATGTTTTAAAGGGCCAATTTTTTTTGTTTTTCTTATTGCTATAACTTAAAGAATACCCTAGAACCACACTGACTCAAAATTCTTCTCTTGTTGGTCTGCATTTTATGCTGCCTTCTTTTCAAAGTTTATCTCAAATGGACTCTCCAAATAAAGGAAGAAGAAACCTAAACAAGAGGAGAGAGGTGCTCTGAGGCAAGACGGTAATGGGAGGAAGGCTTTTTCTAGCTTTCTGTTGAATTATGGAAACTTCACAGTCCCTAGAATTCATCTTTCAATAGCCTCCATCTCCAATGCAAGAATCCCTTCATTCCCTTCCTAAAATCTGGTCTTACAGCCTCTGTTTAGACACTTCAATAGCAGAAACACTAATAATAATAATATTATTAATAGCTATTTAATGGGAATTTGTTCTGTTCCAGTTATTATAAAGATCTTTACATGTGTCATTTCTCATCATCTTTAATAACATAATATTTGTTAGATGATGATTTTCATTTTTGACTCAGAATCTCTAAAACCCCATTTCCTTATGCCATTTCCATGCCCCACTTTCCTTGTAGTGGATTAAAGATGGTCCCAAATTCCTTGCCATTCTTCTAATCAGAGGTGGGGTTTATTGCCTGCCCCTCCCCTTGAATCATGGCTGTCCTTGAGACTCGATTTGCCCAACAGAAGTGCAACAGTGTAATTTCCAAATGATGGGCCTTGCAAGATAGACAACTTCATTTCTGCACACTGAGAATGCCCCTTCTTGAACCTCAGCCATGTGGGGAGAAGGCTAGGTCATGTGGGGAGGCCATGCAGAGGAGAACCGAGGTGCTCTGGTCAGCAGCCCCAGCTGTGCTCCCTGTCAACAGCACCAATGGCCAGCCATGTGAACTGAGTTGGATGTTATTCCCTAGCCGAACCTCTGCTGACCATGGGCCCAGCCAACAGACCATGCAGCAGAAGAACCATCCATCTGAAACTAGTCAACCCACAGACTCAGGAGAGAGATTAAACTGTTGCTTTGAAACACTAAGTTGTGCAGCAGTCAATAATTGAAGCATTCTAGAGGCAATAACCCTCTAGAAATACAGTGATTAAGCCCAGCTTCACAGGGCAGTTTGGCCCAACTGACTACCAGGAGAAGCTTGTCCTGGCCCAATGAATCCTGCCTCACTGCACCTCAAAGGAATGTGCTGGCAGGTGCCCAGCACTCATGGGGTGAGTTCCAGAACGGCCAGAATGGCCTGGCTTCACTCACTTGAACGCCCTCTGCCACAGCCTTGTTTGCACAGTGTGGACCTCACGCATTCTTCTGCCACATAGACTGGCACATTCTTCAAACTTCTGATTTCTTTTCCCAGATTCTGACTTTATTCCTTAATTCCAGCCTGAAGTCTCCATAGAAAAATAACCCCGTAACGAACCTCCTCAGGCCTCGCACGTGGATCATTGCCATACTTACCTCACCTTCTCATTTTTCTTGAACTGTGTATTAATAGCATATTCTTGTGCAACAGTTTTGAATCTCTATCCTGACCCACCTTCAATGGTTTAATTTAGTAAAATCTTTTATATAATATTCCACTCAGAATTGAATGTGATGTTTTAGGTATGGTCTACACTGGAGAATGCACTGAGACTTTTCTGTAGCACTTCTAGAATTTATATTCAGCATACCTTCTTTTTCACCATTCATGTTTATTTCAAGCATATTTCATTTGAACCACTTTAGTGAATTCTAGGGCCCTGTTTCTTACCACTAAATTAATTTCTTCAAGTTAACATCATTGTAGTCATCAATGCTTTTCTGGTTGGATTTGTTCAAACAACTGGTTCTATAATTAACCAGATAAAAATTCATTCCATTTTCATTTCCTACCTCATCCATGATAAACACATTACAGTCGATCTATGCTTATCGAATCTGGATCTGCCAGTTTAGAAACAGCACAGCAAAGAGGAGTAAAATTAGCTCAACTTAATGTTCAACCAAGCACTGTGTCACCACCAATTCTTCAGGCAGTAAATGGCCCCTTGCCATTTGCAAGCTCTAAAATCCAAGGGAAGAATCTGGCTATGACATATGGGAAGTGTTTATGGGTTATGTGTGTGTTACCAGCTCCTGGGGCTGCTGACAAGTTAGTCTCCCTCTCAATGTCTGACGAGGACTGGGCCCATGTCTCGGGCTTGGACTCAATATCTGACGAGGACTGGGCCCATGTCTCGGGCTTGGACTCAAGCCCGATATCTGCTATGCCTGAAGACGTGGTTCCTGTTGCCTCCTGAGACCCTTATGAAGGCCTTGGCAGCATGGAGTGACTCATGCCTGTAATCCCAGCACTTTGGGAAGCCTGTGCAGGAGGATCTGTTAAGTCCAGAAGTTTGAGACAAGCCTGGGCAACATAATGAGACCCAGTATCTACAAAAAAAACAAGAGGGTCTTAACACCATCTTCTCTGCCTAGCTTTATTTCCAGACTCTGCCCCCTTTGCCCCCACCTCCTGGACTGTCTTTCCTCTGTCCTCATTGGTGTGAGGACCCTCCCACTGCACACCTATTCTCAGTGCCCAGTGAGCTTCCACTTTGTCCCCATCCCATAGCTAGTGAGCCTCAGTCGTCAAACCCCTCCCATACACACGTGTCAAATTTCTTCCTTTTCAAAAGTTTTCTCAAACCATCTTTTTAATCACTGCATGTCATTTTTTAAATCAAGTCTACTATAAGCTCGCCAATCTATATTTACAGAAATCTAGATTTTTTCCTTTTTGAAAACTGAAGTAATCTAATAGTCATCATTTACAAGCATTTTCAATTCAGAACTTCTTTCTGTGCCCTGCCGTGTAATTAGTCTGGGAAACAATTCATTTAAATGACTTCAGGCCGGGCGTGGTGGCTCACGCCTGTAATCCTAGCACCTTGGGAGGCCGGGGCGTGTGGATCACCTGAGGTCAGGGGTTCAAGACCAGCCTGGCCAACACGGTGAAACCCCATCTCTACTAAAAATACAAAAATTAGCTGGGCATGGCAGAGTGCACCTGTAATCTCAGGTACTCGGGAGGCTGAGGCGAGGAGAATTGCTTGAACCCATGAGGCAGAGGCTGCAGTGAGCTGACATGGCACCACTGCACTCTAGCCTAGGCAACAGAGCAAGACTCCATCTAAAAAAATAAAAATAAATATGTAGAGACCAGGTCTTGCTATATTGCCCAGGTCTCAAATTCCTGGCCTCAAGTGATCCTCCCGACTTGACCTCCCAAAGTGTTGGGATTACAGGTGTGAGCCACTGTGCTGACCTGTTTTAACACTACTACTAGTAACTAGCACTTAGTTAGCACCTAATGTGTTCCAGGAACTGCTCTAAGTCCTTCATACATACTCATAGGTGAGTATTATTTGTTATTCCCATTTTTCAGATGAGGACGTTGAGGCATACAGAGATTTGCCAAAAGTCATGAACCCAGCTCGTTAGTCAAAGAGGCAGGCCAGGGAAGGGGTTGATGACGACGCTGCCGACTCACACTGTTCAGTCCATTTTCCATCGTTACCGCCAACCTCGGCCCTGTATCTTGACCCTACTCCACTTCTCTAGCCACAGCCTGGCATGGTACTTAATGTGGAGAAAGTCTGTTTTCTATACGTATTTGAGCTGTGATACCTTCCTTCTGATTGTAAAGATATTTTCTTATAGCTTCTTCAAGGATTGTCTATTTGAATTTCCAAAGATGACATTCAATTACTCTGCTACATCTTTTCCCCTCTCTTGGCCACATGACTTAACCACTCTGAGCCTCACTTTCATCATCTTTTAAATTAGAGGATCCAGCTAGATAACCTCTAACATCCCTGGTGGCTCAGATATCCAAACACACTCTTCGCCCTGTTTACACCTTGGAGGGAGCCACAATTACTCATATGAAGGTGCTTCCCAGCCTGTACCTGAAATACCAGCACCAGATCTTAGTGTGATCGTGAGACCACTTCCAGATGAGACCCCTTCCTCGCCAGAAAACACCCAGACACCCTGGGAGGAACAGCAAAAGCTGCTACACTGGAATTGACCTATCGTGGCTGGTCACATGTCTACTCTACTCTCGATTTCTCTACTCTGGCAATGGATTTGAATTTGAACTTCAGAGGTAAGGAACACAGAATAGGAAAGAACTGAAATGGCTCAACAGCAAAGCCACGTTTCCATGGCTTAAGAACCAATGAGAGAATCCGTTCCATGCTCTCTAACTTCCCATTTTTGGCTTGTGATACTGCTATTCAGTTTCAAATATTTTTCTTTTGAAACATCTTTATGTTCTGGCCTCAAATGATACAAACCCACACCTGGCCAGGCACAGTGGCTCACATGTAATCCCAACACTTTGGGAGGCCAACATGGGTGGATTACTTGAGTCCAGGAGTTCAAGACCAGCCTGGGCAACATGGTGAAACCTCACATCTACAAAATATACGCTCACACAAAAATCAGCTGGGTGTGGTGGTGTGCACCTGTAGTTTCAGCTACTCAGGAGGCTGAGATGGGAGGATTGCTTGAGCCCAGGAGGTTGAGGCTGCAGTAAGCCATGATTGCATCACTGCACTCCAGCCTGGGTGATAGAGTGAGACCCTGTCTCCATTAAAAAACTAAAACAGGCTGGGCGCGGTGGCTCAAGCCTGTAATCCCAGCACTTTGGGAGGCTGAGGCGGGTGGACCACGAGGTCAGGAGATCGAAACCATCCTGGCTAACATGGTGAAACCCCGTCTCTACTAAAAATACAAAAAATTATTCAGGCGTGGTGGCAGGCACCTGTAGTCCCAGCTGCTCGGGAAGCTGAGGCAGGAGAATGGCGTGAACCCGGGAGGCGGAGCTTGCAGTGAGCCAAGATTGTGCCACTGCACTCCAGCCTGGGCAAGAGAGAGACTCCATCTAAAAAAAAAAAAAAAAACAGAACCAAAAAAAACACACCTCTGCATTACAGAGGACAAAAAAATGTAGCAGAGTAATCAAATATCATCTTTGGAAATTCAAACAGACAATCCTTGAAGAAGATGTAACAAAATGTCTTCACAATCAGAGGAAGCCATCACAGCTCAACTATGTGTAGAAAACAGACCTGCTCCATGTTATGTGCAACCTGACCCACCAAACAAGCAGGTCAGGGTCAAATATAGCTATTTTTCTGGTGAATTCATCCAGCTTTGACTTTGGACTTTTACAAACATGCTCTTTCACAATGACAGGGCTGGAGCTGAATGCTATAAATGTGAGGCAGCTATTGTTATACTGTCAGCTAAACCACAATGACTTACACTCAGTGATGAATCTCAAGTTTGTTGATATTTCCCAGAGTTCCCAATGAGTACTAAATGTTATCTCTTTGTTCAAACATTATGAAATATTGTGATTTTTTTTCTTGTAGATTTCCTACTGATTTTCACATACGTGAAAGTGAATATTCTTGTGGCATTTATGGTAGTGATTTCCATCCTAGAAATCAGTGGATATATTCAATTCACCACGTCACAGCTGCCCAGGCATGATGGGAGGGGTTGGCAGTGGGGTGGGGAGTGCAAGGGGAAAGGGTCTCAGGTTCAAGACTCAGTAGCCTGAATACACAGCCTACGCGGTCGTGCTTCTGAACATTGAGAGAGAGAGCAAATGTTGTTTTGTTTTGTTTTGTTTTCAAGAATTTGGGATCAGGCTGAGCACAGTGGCTCACGCCTATAATCCCAACACTTTGGGAGGCTGAGGCAGGTGGATTACTCGAGGTCAGGAGTTTGAGACCAGCCTGACCAATATGGTGAAACCCCATCTTTACTTTAAAAAAAATAATACAAAGTTAGTTGTGGTGGTGCACGCCCGTAATTCCAGCTACTTGGGAGGTTCAGGCAGGGGAATCGCGTGAACCTGGGAGGTGGAGGTTGCAGTAAGCCAAGATCATGCCATTGCGCTTGAGTCTGAGCCACAGAGTGACGCTCCCTCTCAAAAAAAAAAAAAAAAAAGGACTTTGGGATCTGAAGACAGAGTATCAGCATGGAAAAAAGTCCAGCCTGCTTTTGGTTTGGTTTATTCTGAGATAATTCTGAATATCAGATTAAAATAATCAGAAAGGAAATGATCAATGGAAGGAGGTATGATTTTGAAAGTCACTGCTGTTTTTGGGAGAACATGCCATTGGGTTTTTTATTATTTATTTATTTTTTTCTTTTGAGACCAAGTCTTGCCCTGTTGCCCAGGTGGAATGCAGTGGCGTGATCTCAGCTCACTCTAACCTCCGCCTCCCCAGTTCAAGCAATTCTCATGCCTCAGCCTCCCAAGTAGCTGGGATTACAGGCGCATGCCACCACACCTGGCTAATTTTTGTATTTTTAGTAGAGACGGGGTTGCACTATGTTGGCCAGGCTGGTCTCAAACTCCTGACCTCAGGTCATCCACCCGCCTCAGTCTCCCAAAGTGCTGGGATTACAAGTGTGAGCCACCGCGCCCAGCTGCCATTGGGTCTTAATTCTCCAGAAACAGTATCTCAGTCAAGAATGCAAAGCTGTGGCAGGATTTTTCCATGAGGGGTCCACTGAGGCACTCACTGGCCAAGGTGGGCGCTCAACTAGTCCAACCTAGGCAAGGGAGGGGAGAATCTGTTTTCTCCCTTCCATTATTTCAGAAGTTATGTTTCTCCAGCAGACACACGGCTGTGCAATTTCGAAGACTGAGGGGAAACTAGGGAGGAAAATGCAGAAAACTCTCTGTTGCATGCCCTGTGAATTGGGCTTTAAATGTAGCAAGGAGCTCCAGGATCCCAGAAGTTGGCCTGGGGTGCTTGGTCCTGAGGATAAGACAACCTCCCTTGTATTGTAATTCTGCCCACAGCTGGAGCTTCCTATTTCAGTGTTGCATCCAAGAAGTTACATTTCCTGTTTGTTGCAAGAAAAATAGAATCTGACCAGGATGGAGGCTAGGCATGGGGGCTCACATCTGGAATCCCAGCAGTTTCGGAGGCTGAGGCAAGCAGATAGCTTGAGCCCAGGTGTTCAAGACCAGGATGAGCAACATGATGAAATCCCATCTCTACAAAAAATAGCCAGGCAGTGTAGTGCACACCTGTAGTCCAGCTACTCTGGAGGCTGAGGTGGGCAGATTGCTTGAGCCGGGGGAAGTTGAGGCTGCAATGAGCTTTGATCTCACCACTGCACTCCAATTCTGAGACTGGGGAGTATTGATTTGCCACTGACCTGAGCCCGGCTGATAGGGGCAGCAGGACAGACACTGTTACCTTAATCAAAGACATTCACGAAGCATTCTCACTGAAGATCTGCCCTAGTATCCTGCACAGCCACTTGCCTGGGTCTTTATAGGTAACAGGTAGACAGTCATCAAAGAGATAGGGGAAAACATGCACAATGAATTCTTTGCTCAGAAAAACCCTTCTGTGTCTTCTCCCACTTTTTCTAAATTTTTCCTGCTTTCATTTAGATCAAAGGATTTTGTTTCTTGGAATAGTTCTGCACTTGGTCCTTTAGAAAGGATGACAATTATCTGTAGGTCTCTCTGATTTTAAGATCAATAGAAATCAGCAAAAGCCAAAAAATAAAAAATAAAAATAAAATAAAAGCACACAAGCACATTCAAGCACATCCATCTGCCCCTGACTTGTCCTCACAGTAAGCAACTGCTTCTGACTTTGCTGTTTGAATAACCTCTGGGTGTTCGATCCACCCACACAGCTCAAGTTTGAGCTCCAGAACAAATATTTGTCCCAATTTTGAACAAAGTTAGAGAGTTTTTTCTTCTTTTTTCTTCTTTCTTAAAGCGAACTGTACTCCTCTGCTGTTCCTTTGAACTTGGTTCAGTAGGAAGAAGTGATATCCTCCCCAGACCATCTGCTTTGGGGAGCTTGGCAAAACTGTCCAGCAAAATGAAAAGACTCACGTGCTTTTTCATCTGCTTCTTTCTTTCTGAAGTATCAGGCTTCGAAATCCCCATAAATGGACTTTCTGAAGTAAGTACTTACAGATCACTCCTTGCTGTTGGCTTGTTCATGAGCTCAGTAAATCATCTATTGGAATCGCTATTCAATGGCCTTATTCTGTGTGTAATGGAAACTTAAGATAAAATTCATCTGAGTGCAAGTGTTTACTGTTATAATTACTGGAATGTATATTTACCTTTTAAAGCATTAACAGGTTTTGCATGAAAATTAAGTCAAGATCAATGGGCAGGCATCAGAGCGTAGCATTTATGGAGCAGAGCTGCTCACTCCTCACCTAAAAAATTGGGGGTAAGAATAGACCTAACCCAATGGTTTGCTTTGAGAATTAAATGACACAGTGTAAACTCTTCTAGCAGAGCGCCTGGACTAGTAAGTGCTTAATAATTACTAGCTGTTATGATGATGAAGAAATATTATCACTCTTTTACTAAGAGTATAAGAAAAGTCATTATCAAAGCACACTGTTTTTCATATCTAAGTGAACAGTGATATTTGTAATAAGAGCACTTTAAGTATTCCTATTAAAGCGGAAGATAGCAGGCAGGGTGGAAAAGTACAAGAATAATTCCCATGGAGTACAGGTCTCCACTTTTGTCCCTTAGCCATCTCCAATGTAAGGAAAGTCTTGGACTGAAAGTCTGTTTCTGAAAGTCATACAAGAGCTATTTTTATGCCAGAAAAGCGAAGCATGTTATGGGAACATCCCAGCAAATGCAAAGGCTTATAATACTTGCAGAGTGGATTACCTATAAAAATGCCAGAGAATATGACGGCATATTTACAAAGGGAAAATATCACTCTGTCTGCTTTGAAACTATCATATTTTCCAACACTTAAAAGCCACCAGAGTGTGTTAGAAATCTCAAATTGAAGCCAAGACATCCAAATGTGTTTGTGCTTTTTCAGTCATTTCTAACTGGCATTTCCTTTTAGAAAATACCTACATTTTTAACTTGGGGAGATGTATGGTTCATGTCTGTCCAGTCAGACACTGCAAATGCCTCCAGGGTCTACCCAGATACTTCCCCAGACACCCACCTAATCACTGGGTTGTTTTGATCTCTGTCTTACCACCTGCTGGCAAACTCAAAAATGAATTCCCATGTCCAACAAATGCGAAGGTGTTGTTACCCTCCATTTGGACACCTCTGAGACGTAACCAGCAAATAGAAATATACTAAAGAAATCATTTTATACAAAATTGTGATTGCCCAGAGGTAGAGGAAAGAATATAAAATAATGAATACCAACAGCTATCTCTTTGGCTCTAGATCTTTTGGAAATCATCATTCTCAGCAAAGTAACACAAGAAGGGAAAACCCAACACCGCATGTTCTCACTCATAAGTGGGAGTCGAACAACGAGAACACATGGACACAGGAAGGGGAACATCACACACTGGGGCCTGTCAGGGGGTGGGGGGCTAGGGGAGGGATAGCATTAGGAGAAATACCTGACGTAAATGATGAGTTAATGGGTGTAGCAAACCAACATGGCACATGTATACCTATGTAACAAATCTGCACGTTGTGCACATGTACCCCAGAACTTACAGTATAATTAAAAAAAAAAAAGTTAAAATCCTAATTTTTTTTAAGTTTGTAGACTATGAAGATCTTGTGGAACTGGCCCCAGGCAAATTTCAATTGGTGGCAGAGAACCGGAGATATCAGGTATAGTAAGGTTTACTCCCAAAAGGGGGAAAAAAAGTGAAAGAGATTATGGCAGAAGAAGACAAGTGTTAAGATGCCTTCTGCTAGATTTTCTTAAGAGTTTGTTTTTTAGCACAGAAGAGTCCAGACTTCTTACACCTTGGTGGAAGAGATCACCCAGGTGAAATAAAAAGAGAAACTCACACAACTGCTCAGCAGCCTTCACACCATAATGCTCAATTTAGTCCCTTAAAGAGTACACGACTCAGCACAGTGGCTCCCACTTATAATCACAGCATTTTCAGAGGCCAAGGAGGGAGGATCACTTGAGGCCAGGAGTTCCAGATCAGCCTGGGTAACATAGTGAGGCTCTACCTCTGCCACCCAGCTAATATATATATTAGCTGGCATGCACCTGTAATCCCAGCTATTTGAGAAGCTGAGATGGAGGATCACTTGAACCCAAGAGTTCGAGGCTGCAGTGAGCTATGATTGCACCAGCCTGGGCAACAGAGGGAGACGCTGTCCCCACTCCATTTAAAAAAAAAAAAAAAAAAAAGAATACATGGCTATGTGTTTTCTTCAAAACTTAAGATTCCGAAATTATTTCCTGCCTTGCCGGAAGGATTTCCTGTTAGGAAGACTTTTCTTATTTTAGCGATGACAGACACTCCCCCTTGCAGCCTCACAATCTCCTTCCTCTGGTCACTCTGAGGGCACCTGAGAAGGAGAATTGGCCACATTGGAAGTTGCAATCCTGGCGGCCACCAGCAGCAGTATAGACAAAACCCTCTAATTAAGGGGGTGAGTTTTCCAGAACACCAGGAAGGGCTTGGCTTCTTCCCCACGGAGCCCACATGCTGAGAGAGGAGGTATTTACGGAAGCAGCAACCCTAAGCTGATCAATGTCTTATTTTGTATGGGTGTGAATTTTTTACTTTCTGAAAATCCAGGATTTTTTTTTGTAGACTAATAATATTAAAATCCAATAAGCAAGACTTCATGTCACAATTTATTTAGCCACAAGAGAGAAAAATTTGTCATTGAGCATTGCATTCAAGAAGTCTACAAGAAGAGGTCAACCATTGACCTCACCATGTCACACAGCACAGAACCTCAGTTCACCCCGAATCAGGCAAGCTGAGCTTATATCCAACACCCGACTTCTTGGATCTATTATTAACAGCTCACCAAACATTACATGTTCACCCACCACCCTTAAGCCATTCACTTTCAAAGGCAAGGGAATCGCCTTTGTTCATTTCCTCAGGACAGTCAAGTGTATGGATAATCTCCTAGCATGGTGGTTAAAAGCATAGAATTTTCTAGGTGCCAGTCACTGTGTTTGCCTCAGGGGTTACACTGTGGAGGAAATACATGAAAATCCCTGCTTTTATGTAGCTTAGTTTAAAGGAAGAGACAGACTTTAGTCAAATAATCCCTCAAATAGAATGAATCATTATGAAACAAGGTGAGCACTCTGCAGGAAGGAATATGCTGCTGCAAAAACACTTAGTAAAGGAAACCGACCTAGTCTTGGGGTGTTAGAGATTTTCACTGGAGGAATTCTGCTGGAGCTGAGATCTGAAGGGTGAGTAGGAGTTCTCCATATGGGGGTTGAGGAACCTAGCAGGGGCACTGCAAACAGTGGGAACAGCATGCCCACAGCCTCATGGCCGAATGGAGGATCAAAGTCTCCATTCAACTGAGTAAAAAATAGAGCAAATAGCATCAAGGGGATATACGCTACCCAGGATGCATTTGGTTGAATATTTTTATTTAAAAATTACTTGTTCTAGCATTATATCCAAGAATGACACACACGCCACCAGAACTGGTTGAGAAACTTATTGAGAAACTCACCAGTGGGAAAATAGTTTTCAAGAATATTCAATATTTATGTCTCAACTCCAGTGAATGAATAACAGCTCAGTATTGAAGAAAAATAAAATTTCTTTTTTGACTGAGAAAACGGTTTTGGCTCTCAAGGTAATAAGTGACATACAGTTGAAGAATGATTGTCTAACTTCCTTTCACAGAGAAGCCTTCCAGGAGAATCGGAAGAAATGATGGTAAGTTGACTTGATGTTGTTACAGATTGAATGATTTTCCTGTTAATAATTACCAGGAAATCAATCTGGGTGTCTCTTTTTTCTTCATCACCGAGTATTTACCTGACTTTCGAAATACTGCCTTGCCCAACTGTTTGCAAGTGTTTCTAAAATTCAGCATTGAAGAGTGCAGTCTTTACAGACAGGAGAGAGGCCACCAAGAGCTGAAGGGGCCCTTCTCTTCATTTTCTTGAGTTTTGCCATATATCATAGGTTCCTTCCCACTGTATAAATTTATGTATTTATTCCTACTCAACCTTTTTGATTTATGTATTTATTTTTACGTTTTCATTTTTATTTTTATTTTTTTGAGACAGAGTTTCACTTTTGTTGCCCAGGCTGGAGTGCAATGGCATGATCTCAGCTCACTGCAACCTCTGCCCCCTGGGTTCAAGAGATTCTCTGCCTCAGCCTCTCAAGTAGCTGGGATTACAGGCATATGTCTCCTCGCCCAGCTAATTTTTGTGTTTTTAGTAGAGATGGGGTTTCACCATGTTGGCCAGGCTGGTCTCGAACTCCTGACCTCGGGTGATCCACCTCCCTCAGCCTCCCAAAGTGCTGGGATTACAGGCATGAGCCATTGCTTCCAGCACCATTTTGATTTAAAGTATGACACCTGACAGCTTTGGAAAATAAAAGAGTGCCCGTGGAAAGGAACTTTTAAACACAAAACGGCCCAGTTCCCTGAGATGTTCAGAGTAGACCATCCTGTGGCAAGAAAACAGCCTGAGGACAAGTGGCTTATGTTGTGCTTCCTGCCCTGAATTGGCAGAAACTGCCAGAAGTGCACACTTCAGGGGGAGGAAGGACACATAGATTAGCCTGGATTTTATTTTAGCTTGAGGTGAGTTGCATGGTTAATTAGTCGAAAGGTTTAATGTTGGACTACAAAGTTTGGGGAATGAGACCTGGTATTGAGATAAGTAAATTCTTTTGGAGAAAAAAGCAAAATCTAATGGGTCTCATAGTTGTCCATAGACCTGAAGGAGCTTGCAGCTCTCAGTCACCTCCTGAAAGGTGTGGGTTTCTAGGACCTTGCCTTTGAGCACACTTACATATGTGATTCTTCACACAGGAGCTGCTTTAAATCAGTAGTGATCGGGTAAGGAGGTCCAGAGTGTTGGACCAATACTTGCATCAGAATGCCCTGTCCAAGATCAATGTCTCTTGCTTACACCCGTCACTGTTCTCCTAGCTTGTTTTGACTTGGGGGAGGAGAAAAGGACTGCAGATGAAATTGTAATAGAGGAGATTAAAGAAGGTAGAGAGCTGTAAGGGGGGGTTGGTGGAGGCCATATGTGTGTTTCCACCCCACAGCACCCCTGTGTGACCCCTACTAAAGATACAACCAAGTTCCTCTTTCAACCTCGCAATCCAGTATCCTCTCCCCAGCTGATGGTCTTGCATTTGGAGTTATTACCTGGACTTCCTCAATCCAATCTGGCTTCCCACACCGTTTTCTACTTGTATTCTAATTTTTGAAAAATCATTATTTATAGACTCATAGGGCTGAAAAATGCCTTTTAGCTCAAAGTATCTTGAAACCAAGGCAGACTTCTGCTCATTGCGGGTTCCAAGAAGTTAGGAGAATGCTTAACCATACATGAATTCTGTCCTTACCAAGGCCCTGGAATTGTTCTGCTAGTAAAACAAGTAAAATGTAGTGTTGTTAACATCAAATGCACTACATTTGATGAAGTTCTGTGTGATTTTTCTATCAGTACAGTTATGCTTTCTTGCCAATTTCAGGAAGAGGTTGATCAAGTAACTCTTTATAGCTATAAAGTCCAGTCTACTATTACTTCTCGGATGGCCACCACCATGATCCAGAGCAAAGTGGTGAACAATTCCCCGCAGCCTCAGAATGTCGTGTTTGATGTTCAGATCCCCAAAGGAGCATTCATTTCCAACTTCTCCATGTGAGTAACTTCTGTGTAGAGCCAGAAATTGTAGGTGCTCTACTCACAGAATCAAAACCCCTCATAGTTAGAATGGACTTTAGTGGTCAACTGTCCCAGAGGACCGGCTGGATGTCAAGGGTCATTGTGAGGTTGGTCCCAATAATTTTCTCCTCTTCAAAGCGTTAGAACTTGTGAATTATTTGCTTTTTGTTTCTAATAAGCTAAAGCAAACTTAAGGCTATCTCTGTGGTAACAACCTCATACTTACTTGCATTTTAATATACTTTCTAGGGAGGAGAAAAATATACTGGGTTGCCCTGGCTTATAGGAAACCACATAAGAGCGTGTGCACAGCAGGTCAATGCCATCTGCCATATGTTTCTCTATGGGAAAAAAAAAACAAGTTGAGAACCACAGATTAAATCTAATTACTTATCCAGTGCTTGACCTCCTCTATAACACCGCTGACAAGTGTGTGATGATTTCCTTGATGATAAACTCACTTTTCCCAAGGCAATCAACTCAGTGATTGACAGCTCTGTTAAGAGTCCTTTCTTATACTTCAAATATTTTCCACTTTCTACCCAATGACTCTAGTGATAATCACATAGAATTTTTAAAAAGCTCTCTACAAAATACATATTGAAGTGTTCATAGATGAAATGATGTGCCATCTGAGCTTGGCTTCTTTTTTTTTTGAGATGGAGTCTCGCTCTGTCGCCCAGGCTGGAGTGCAGTGGCGTGATCTCGGCTCACTGCAAGCTCCGCCTCCCGGGTTCACACCATTCTCCTGCCTCAGCCTCCTGAGTAGCTGGGACTACAGGCACCCGCCACCATGCCTGGCTAATTTTCGTATTTTTAGTAGAGACGGAGTTTCACCGTGTTAGCCAGGATGGTCTCGATCTCTTGACCTCGTGATCTGCCCGCCTCGGCCTCCCAAAGTGTTGGGATTACAGGCGTGAGCCACCGTGCCTGGCCTTGAACTTGGCTTCTTAACAACTAAGGTGGAAAGCATGAGAGTACAGACAAATTAAGATTGGCTGAGTATTCATAATGGTGTAGCTCAGTGATGGTTTCATGGACATCTCATATTATTCCCTCTATTTTCTGTGTGTTTGAAATTTTTCGTAATAAAAGAAGGTTAAACTACTCCAATACTTTCCAAACAGTTAATACCAGTTATCCACTTGGAGCCTTCATGTATCAAAGTTAAATATTCTCTGTTCCTCTAAGTGATTGGAATGATTTCTATGTCCAAATATCAAGGTGGCCAACCCAGAGTATGTTCCAGGTGGTCAATGTCCCTCTTAAGTTGCCAAGAACACAGCAAAGTACTGTGCATAAAGTCTGGCTATTTTTTTTTTATGAAGACATTAGGTTGAATTACTTCTCATCCACTTTTGTCTTTCATACACCAAGGTAATCAGTGATCATTGTGGATAAATAGTAAAGGGTTCAACCACCATGTACTTTGGCTGCCGAAAGTGGCAGTCATGTGAACTCTAACCAAATAGGCAGAAAAAGGCATTGTGTCACTTTAATTGGTATCCTTTGAATTGGCTTTAAAATGTATCACTTTTTTTGTCTGCCTTTTCTAAAAAGCAAAGGGAGAAGGAAAGGCTTTTCTGTACTGGTATTATATGACCCCATGTCTAGAAATGACATTGAAAACTATTTTAATAAATTCCTATTTTTAAACCACACAATCAGAATTTACTCAAAAGATCTCTTATTTCTGTTTTCCTTCTTTTTTTTTTTTCTTTTTTACTTTAAGTTCTGGGATACGTGTGCAGAATGTATAGGTTTGTTACATAGGTACACATGTGCCATGGTGGTTTGCTGCACCTATCATCCCATCATCTAGGTTTTAAGCCCCACATGCGTTAGCTGTTTGTCCTAATGCTCTCCCTCCCCTTGCCCCCTACCGCCCGACAGGACACGGTGTGTAATATTCCCCTCCCTGTGTCCATGTGTTCTCATTGTTCAACTCCCACTTATGAGTGAGAACATACAGTGTTTGATTTTCTGTTCCTGTGTTAGTTTGCTGAGGAAGATGGCTTACAGCTTCAACCATGTCCCTGCAAAGGACATGATCTTATTCCTTTTTATGGCTGCATACTATTCCGTCCTTCATTCTGTTCTTTCTTTACTATCTCATTACATAGAAGATTTGAAGTACAAAGGACAGAATCGTGAAACATGCATTTACTTTTATCTCCCTCTGCTCTGAGCTGAATCTATAAGACCAGAGAAGATACCTGCTTAATTATCACAACTTAAAATGAGCTGTGTAGACCTATGTACTAGCCAAAATATCCCTTTTACCTTTTTATCAAGATCTTGAATATTCTATGGGAGATGATTTCCTTTGTCCTAAAGACCCCTTGGCCTTTGAGACTTAGTTCTGATTCGATAGAAGCATGATGGCCTTGACCAGCAGTGTGACCTTGGCAAGAGTCACCTGTCTCCTGGGGTCTGATGTCTCTCATCTAAAGGGGCAAACCCACAAGTGTGCCTCAACACACGTGCTGTTGGCATTTGGGGCAGGAAAATTCTTCAGTGGAGCTGTCCCTCATATTGCAGGATGACTAACATTCGTGGTGTCCTCCCACAAATGCCAGCAGCACTTCCAAGTCATCTCAACAACCCAAACTTCACACATTTCCAAATTGCTCCTTGGGAAAGACACTGCCCATTTGAGTACTGGAAGTTCCCATGTACTTCCAAAATTCTGGATTCTACCACTCTGACCAACCATTACTTGGTAAGGATTAGGTGCTAGCCAGCTAAAGGTAAGGTGTATAGAGATGAGATGCAAATAGAAGACAGAGGTCCCCAAGGGAGATGGTTTCCAGATAAACACCACCTTGGCAGGGGACCCACCAGCACCTTCCCCCTTTTTCTTTATTCTTTTCCACCCTTGCAGAGGAGCATAATATTCTGTCTTCATCAGCTCCGGCTGCTATGACTAAGTACCATAAAATGGGTAGATTATAAACAACAGAAATTTAAAATTCATAGTTCTGAAGGCCGGGAAGTCCGAGATCAAGATGCCCAAGGATTTCGTGTCTGGTGAGGGCCCATTTCCTGGTTCAGTCAAGATGGAAAGAGATGAGAGAGCTCTTCGAAGTCTGTTTTTTATGACAGCACTAAATGCTATTCATGAGGAGAGAGCCCTCTCCAAGGCCCCACCTCGTAATGTCATCGTCCTAGGAAGTAAGGTTCAACATGCACATTTGCGGGGAACATAAACATTCGGTCCATTGCATACCCCACAGCGATGCCAAATTCTTAGCTCACAGAATGACCTGATGAACCAGTAATGAGATAATTCGGAATTTATCAGTCACCTCCCCTAATCACATTTGTCATTCAAAGGGGATACCCAAAGAGAACCATCCTTAATCTAAAGGATGAAATTCAAAGATGAGGAAAAATCTATAAACAAACAACAGTACATGAGGGAAAGGTTTTAGGATGGGAGCCTACCAAACCCCTCTCAAGCCACACTATCCAATCAATAAAGGAAGTCCTGTCCATAAACTATTTGAATGCCTCCCTTCTTATTTCTTATAGACACAAAATGATCATTGCCCTCATTCATTAAATTAGCCTTGTTGGGTTGTTTGCTCGCTCTTGTTTGTTTTGCTAAGATTACTATTCTGGGCCAGGCGCGGTGGCTCACACCTGTAATCCCAGCACTTTGGGAGGCCAAGCCAGGTGGATCATGAGGTCAGGAGATCGAGACCATCCTGGCCAACATGGCGAAACCCAATCTCTACTAAAAATACAAAAAATTAGCCTGGCCTGGTGGCAGACGCCTATAATCCCAGCTACTCAGGGGGCTGAAGCAGGAGAATTGCTTGAACCCAGGAGGTGGAGGTTGCACTGAACTGAGATTGCACCATTGCACTCCAGCCTGGGTGACAGAGCAAGACTCCATCTCGAGGGGAAAAAAAAAAAAGATTACTATTCTGACCAACTGGTTACCTTCTGTCATTTTCTAGGACTGTGGACGGCAAGACATTTAGGAGCTCTATTAAGGAGAAAACTGTGGGCCGAGCTCTTTATGCACAGGCCAGAGCAAAAGGCAAGACGGCTGGCTTGGTGAGGTAAGGCCTGAGTGAGCAAGGCTTGCCCTTGCCTCTCAATGACGGTTTCCTCTCCTACTTCCTTCCCACAGCAGCAAAGCAGCCTCTGGAAAGGCACAGCACCTGAGCCAATGGCAACCTCCTCAGAGCCAGATGTTAGAATTAGGCACTGCAGTTTCTATTCGCCTAAAGGTCCCTCTTCAACCAATGGGTTTTGGGTGATCCCACGCTGGTTGTGCTTACATCACTGTCTTGCAGGTAGATGGATGTTCTGTAAATAAACACTGCTTTTTCTAAAGAGTGAAGAGAGAAACTACAGAAATATTGGTGATCTTGTGATCTTGTTACGAAACTTAACATATAAGCAGAAGGAAAAGTTTGAAATTTGCCTTAATGATTTATTCTGACTACTTGTAGGGATAAGGGGTTTTTTTTAATTGTAGTTGTTGTTGTTGTTGTTTGAGATGAGGTCTTAATTTTTTGCCCAGGCTGGAATGCAGTGGTTTGATCACGGCTCACTACAACCTCGAACTCCTGGCCCCAAGCGGGAATGCCTCAGCCTCCCAAGTAGCTGGGACTTGGGGTGCACCACCATGCCTGACGAATTTTTTTAGTTTTTGTAGAGATAAGGCCTTGCTTTGTTGTCTAGGCTGGCCTCAAGCGATCCTCCCATGTCAGCCTCCCAAAGTACTGGGATTACGGGCTGAAACCACCATGCTGGGCTGCGATAGGGTCTTCTTAAGCATCAGTTACTTCACTTAGGCTTTGTTTATTTTTTCCCCTTATAATCTAAGTAAGACCTGGGAATGCCAAGCCACCCTCAAAAAGTAGCTTCTCTTCAAAGGGAAAAAATCTTCAAAGGGATGTTCACCTTCTCACTCCTTGCACTGCACACTCACTATTTTTTTTTTTTTTTTTTTTTTTTGAGACGGAATCTCGCTCTGTCGCCCAGGCTGGAGTGCAGTGGTGCGATCTCGGCTCACTGCAAGCTCCGCCCCCCGGGTTCACGCCATTCTCCTGCCTCAGCCTCCAGAGTAGCTGGGACTACAGGCACCCATCACCATGCCCGGCTAATTTTTTGTATTTTTCAGTAGAGACGGGGTTTCACCGTGTTGGCCAGGATGGTCTCGATCTCCTGACCTCGTGATCCGCCCGCCTCGGCCTCCCAAACTGCTGGGATTACAGGCGTGAGCCACTGTGCCTGGCCCACGCTCACTATTAGGCCAAATGCTGCCGTGTTTCTTTCCTCCTCTCCTCTTCTCTTACATCCCCAAACTCACCTGTAGTTGAAGTTCTTTTCCTTTCATTCATGCATTTGTTCATTCAACAAAAATGCATCAAATGCAAGCTCTGTACCAGTTCTGTCAGAGACAGCAGCAACACAAAAGCGGACACCGTCAGCCTCATGCAGGAGACAGACAAGGAACCTGTGACAACAATATCTGCAGTGGGCAAGGGCTAATACGGAAGAGAGGGTACACAAAAAACACTATGGGAGTTCCGAGTGCCGAGTGTGTCATCCTGTCTGGGGGTCCAGGAAATCCCCACAGAGGACTGATGTGTCAGCTGAGCCCAAGTAGATTACAGCTGGCCTTCGTATTCATGGGTTTCACATTCTCAGATTCAACCAACTGTGGATGAAACCTGTGGATACGGAGGGTCCACTGCACCATACTGTTTTATAACAGTGACTTGGGCATCGCCGGATTTTGGTATACTTGGGGAATCCTGGAACCAAACCCCAGAGGATACAGAGCACCAACTGTAGTAAAATTCAGCCAGGTAGAGAATGGAGAGAAGAAGCTCCAAGCAGAGGAAATGCCTCTAGCCTTGCTGCAGGTGAATCAGTCCTTTTATCTTTAAGAATCATTTTGCCAGCCAGGCGTGGTGGCTCACGCCTGTAATCCCAGCACTTTAGGAGGTCGAGGCAGGCAGATCATGAGGTCAGGAGACCGAGACCATCCTGGCCAACATGGTGAAACCCCGTCTCTACTAAAATTACGTAAATTAGCTGGGCGTGGTGGCGTGTGCCTGTAATCCCAGCTACTCAGGAGGCTGAGGCAGGGGAATTGCTTGAACCAGGGAGTTGGAGGTTGCAGTGAGTCGACATTGTGCCACTGCATTCCAGCCTGGTGACAGAGCAAGATTCCTTCTCAAAAAAAAAAAAATCATTTTGCCATCTTTGTCCATCATTTTGACCACATCACCCATTCATTTATTTGTTTATCCATCACACAAATACTTACTTCTACCAGAAACTCTTCTAGGCACTGGAGATACGGCAGGGAACGCAGAGCTCCCATCCTAGTGCACCCTCAGGTAAACACGGTGTCTCACTGCAGGCTCTGTCTCAAAGCTTTGCACGAGGCCATGCTCATCTTTTTCTTCAATTATTTGATATCGCAAGCTGACTATCCACAACAACTCCCCAATCCCTTAGGCTGATTGTGCAACATCTCACCTTGCTTACTTATTTATTTCTTTTCTTTTGAAATGAAATTTCACTCTATCACCCTGGATAGAGTGAAGTGCAGTGGCGTGATCTCGCTCACTGCAACATCCACCTCCCAGGTCTAAGCAATTTTCCTGCCTCAGCCTCCCAAGCAGCTGGGATTATAGGCACCCACCACCACACCTGGCTAATTTTTGTATTTTTAGGAGAGACAGGGCTCACTACAACCTCCACCTCCCAGGTCTAAGCAATTTTCCTGCCTCAGCCTCCGGAGCAGCTGGGATTATAGGCACCCACCACCACGCCCGGCTAATTTTTGTATTTTTAGGAGAGACAGGGCTCACTGCAACCTCCACCTCCCAGGTCTAAGCAATTCTCCCCTCTCAGCCTCCTGAGTAGCTAGGATTACAGGCACTCACCACCACACCCGGCTAATTTTTGCGTTTTTAGTAGAGACAGGATTTCACCATGTTGGCCAGGCTGTTAACTCCTGACCTCAAGTGACCCACCCACCTCAGCCTCCCAAAGTGCTAGGATTACAGGCATGAGCCTCTGTGCCCAGTGTATTTACTTATTTCATTTAAAAAATCATTCCCTGTTTATCCTAACGCTGGAATCACCAGCACTGATAATTCTGCTGTTTTCTCTTTAAACCATAAACACCTCAAGATCAATGATCACATTGAACTCAGTATGTATGTGACTAAAATAAGGCCTTATGATAGAAAAACATACTCAGGCCAGGTGCAGTGGCTCAGACTATAATCCCAGCACTTTCAGAAGTGGAGGCGGGTGGATCATCTGAGGTCAGGAGTTTGAGATCAGCCTGGTCAACATGGCGAAACCCTGACTCTACTAAAAATACAAAAATTAGCTGGGCATGGTGGCGCATGCCTGTAGTCCCAGCTACTCGGGATGCTGAGGTAGGAGAATAGCTTGAGCCCTGGAGGCGGAGGTTGCAGTGAGCTGAGATCACACCACTGCACTACAGCCTGGGCAGCAGAGCGAGACCCCAGCTCAAAAAAAAAAAAAAAAAAAAGAGAAACATACTCAATTTGAGCAATAATAAAGTTTTTCTTTCTGAAGACCTTCAGAAATATCAAGAACTCCTATAGTGAGCCTCAAATGCAGTATGGGAAGAGTGTTATCTTTGAACCACCCAACCTTGGGTGTGAGTTCTGATCCCACAGTGGACTGGCCATGGGGTCTTGAGCAGGTCCTCTACAAGCCTATTTTTTTTTTTTTTTTGAGACAGAGTTTCATTCTTGTTACCCAGACTGGAGTGCAATGGCGTGATCTCGGCTCAACGCAACCTCTGCCTCCTGGGTCCTGGTTCAAGCATTTCTCCTGCCTCAGCCTCCTGAGTAGCTGGGATTACAGGAACACACCACCATGCCCAGCTAATTTTTGTATTTTTAGTAGAGACGGGGTTTCACCATGTTGGCCAGGCTGGTCTCGAACTCCTGACCTCGTGATCCGCCTGCCTCGGCCTCCCAAAGTGCTGGGATTACAGGCATGAACCACCACACCCAGCCCAAGCCTAATTTTTTTATCATCTGAAAAGTCAGGGTAATGATCTCCATATTGCAGAGCAGCTATATCAGCAATGATAGATGTCAAATTCCTGGCCCAGGATAGGGGCCAATCCCTGGTAGTTTTTTGCAGACAACACTCAAGTCAGTAAGAAGCTCTGGGAGCTGGAGATCGGGTAGGAGAGGAGACTGAAGCTCTTGTTGGGATTCAACTGATCTAGAAGCTGCACTTATCTCTAGTGTACCTACTGTTCACTTTCATGAACTACTGAGCAGAACGGACGGTCCAGGAAATTCTACATGCCCTCTGCCTAGATTCTGGGTCTTGCTGCTCAATCATGTATCTGTTGACTTTTGTTGGGGGCTTTCACCTTTAGGAGCAGCGCTCTTGATATGGAAAACTTCAGAACGGAAGTAAATGTCCTCCCAGGAGCAAAGGTGCAGTTCGAACTTCACTACCAGGAGGTGAAGTGGAGGAAGCTGGGCTCCTATGAGCACAGGATCTATCTGCAACCTGGACGGCTGGCCAAACACTTAGAGGTAAGCCTGGATCTGTAGGGTGGGCAGTGACACTGTCCTTTTATAGTCTCTGACCCTGATTTATACTTTCTGCTTGTCACTAGCACTTGTGGTGTTGGATGCCACTCAACTCTACAAGACAGTGGGATGTATTGAAAAGATGGTGGGTTTGGAGTCAGCCACACCACTTCCTTATGGCTCTCGGTCTCCTTAGCAGCCGTATTATGGTGGTTTCTGAGGTCTGCTATAACAAGTTACAGCAAACGCCACAGCTTAACACAACAGAAATTGATTCTCTCATGGAAGTCTGAAGTCAAGGTGTCTGCAGAGCTGCACTCTCTCTCTCTGGAGGCTCCAGGGGAGAGCCCGTTCCTTGCTTCTCCTGCTGTCTGGCAGCTGCCAGCCTTCCTTGACTTGTGGCCTTGTAGTCAGATCACTCCAATCTCTTCTTCCACGGTCGCATCCTCTCCTCCTCCGAGCATCTTAAATGCCCCTCTGCCTTTCTCTCACAAGAACACCTATTAGATTTGGGGTCCACCAGGTAGTACAGGATGATCTCAACTCAAGATCCTTAATTGCATCTGCAAGGACTCTTTTTCCAGATAAATCTACATTCACAGGTTCCAGAGGTTGGGCGCATCTTTAGGGGGGGAGGCCACCATTCAACCCAAGACACTAATCTTCAAGGACCAGCTATCCTGAGTCTTCGCTGTCTCATCTATGAAAAGAGTACTGTAACAGACTTTTGTTTCTCAGTTATTTTTTTTTTAACTTTTAAGTTCAGGGGCATATGTGCAGGTTTGTTACACAGGTAAATTCCATGTCACAGGGGTTGGGTGTACAGATGATTTCACCACCCAGGTAATGAGCATAGTACCTGATAGGTAGTTTTCCGATCCTTTCTCTCCTCCCTCCCTCACCCTCGAGTAGGCCCTGGTGTCAACTGTTCCTTTCTTTGTGTCCATGTGTACTCAATGTTTAGCTCCTGCTTAGAAGTGAGAATGTGCAGTACTTGGTTTCCTGTTCCTGTAATATGTGGCCAATGACAGGAGCTTGATGAAGGTTAAGTGGATTGTCTTCCCTGCCACCCCAGCCATCATCACCGCAGGGGAGCAGTGCCTCGGTCATCCACTGCATTACTATCCATCTGAACTCACCTCTGCTGTCATCTTCATCTCTTGCTATAAAGACTAAACTGCTCTTTTCTTTGCTCAAATCTTTGTGACATCCTATGACTGTTTAGTGTAAGAGGCAGAGCTAGGCAAGAGGAAACCTAAGAGAGTACAGAGGCCAACATGCCCCTCCCCCGGCAGATGGGAGAGTAAAGCAGACAGGTTGTGAATTGCCCGGAGACACGGGAGATGAAAGGGAATGAATTAATCACGATGAAACTTTAATTCCCATTTGAAAAGCTGCTCGTGGGATCAATAATGCCCACTGTTTGGCATCAGTTCACTATCAGAGTCTATGCTGTTGAGTTCTTTTCTGGGCCACTCCTAGCACATACCGTGCTTTTGCGTGAATTGAAAAAAGATGCCCGTCCTTCAGGCAAATGCAGCGCCATCCAGGGCACGTGACTTGGCCAAGATGCTCTGTACAATTAAGTGTGTTGTTGGACATTTTTCCACTACTGATGATGGATGAGTGTCAGTAACCCACATTCTCTTCCTCAATGCCATGAATCCCGTGGTAAATAATTTGAAGCAATGGTTAGATGTGATTAGCATCTAAGCCTAGGAGGAGACAATCACTGAGACTGTTGATAATAACAATATTAATAAAAACTGAGTGACAGCCTGGGCAGCACAGCGATACCTCACCTCTACTGAAAATAAATAAATAAATTAGCCAGGCATGGTGGTGCTCCCCTGTAGTCCCACCCACTTGGGAGGCTGAGGCAGGAGGATAACTTGAGCCTAAAAAATCGAGGCTGCAGTTAGCTATGATCATGCCACTGCACTCCAGGCTGGATGGCAAAATGAGACCCTGTCTCAAAAAAAAAAAAAAAAAAAAAAAGAAAGAAAGAAAAGAAAAAATAGCAGCTAAGTAACTCAGAAACAGAAAATCAAATACCACAGGTTCTCACTTATAAGAGAGAGCTGAATAATGTGTACACGGGGACATAGGGTGGGGAATGATAGACATTGGAGACTCGAAAGTGTGGGAGGGTGGGAGTGGGGAGACTTGGGAGAAGTGTGGGAGGGTGGGAGTGGGGAGACTTGGGAGAAGTGTGGGAGGGTGGGAGTGGGGAGACTTGGGAGAAGTGTGGGAGGGTGGGAGTGGGGAGACTTGGGAGAAGTGTGGGAGGGTGGGAGTGGGGAGACTTGGGAGAAGTGTGGGAGGGTGGGAGTGGGGAGACTTGGGAGAAGTGTGGGAGGGTGGGAGTGGGGTGAGGGATGAGAAATTACTCAACGGGTACAAGGTACATTACTTGGGTGGTAGTTGCACTAAAAGCCTGGGCTTCATCCCTGTGCAATATATTCATGTAACCAAACTGCATTTGTACTCCTTAAATTTATACAGATTTTTCAAAATAATTACACAAAAATATAAACAAACAAATCATAGAATTAAATTTAAAAAAGAAAAAAATGGCAGCTATGACTGTGGTTTGGTCAAGAATCACCAAAGGGGATTTCCCTAGATGAGGTCTGTTCAAAGCAAGAAGACAGAGAAGAAATAAAACAACCCAAGATTTGGGGAAAATGGTCTACTTTTGACAGGTCTACAGAGTAGATGCAGTGCTATTTAACAATGAGGGAAAAAGAAGAAGGAATTCTTTTTTTCCCTAACAATGCAAATGCTCTTATAAATAAAAAGACTCGAATAGAATGAGGAAGGGAGTCGACTCCTGGGGGAGTGAGGCAGCAGAAGGAGAGCTCTGAGTCGACAGAAGGGGGTTAAGCCTCCGTGGTGAGATGAATCCCATCGCAGGAACTTGCAGATCCTGCAGGAGAGATCGTGGAGTCGTGCCCGGGAAACCTGCGGAGGAGAAAAGCATCAGAGGACTTATTTGTAATTTTACTTCTTGCTTAAAAAGACTTTAAAGACTTTTAATGCTTTGGGTAATTTTCTCTTGCATCTCTAGGTAGATGTGTGGGTTATCGAACCACAGGGACTGAGATTTCTTCATGTTCCCGACACATTTGAAGGCCATTTCGATGGTGTTCCGGTCATTTCTAAAGGACAACAGAAGGTACCCTGAGCCCTGTGTGTTGCCAGGCATTCACAGGGCCTCTGGATTGTGGGTTCTGTTCTCCTTCTGTGCTCTGGAGAAGAGAAAAGCAGGCTGGTGTTGAGGACACTGTTGAAGAAATGGGGATCCCCAAGTAGAGCCTAGGGCCTCCCCAGGATACACAGAACAACACTCCCAGTGCTTTCCTTCCATTTTGACCAGAGATTGTCCCTTTTTGAGTCTCATTTCCCCGTCAGTCACCTGCTTAACCAGTAGCTAAAGGACAGCTTTCACATCCTATATGGCAGATTTTCATTCATTAACCATAGCAAGACATGTTCAGCTCTCTGCCTCAATGACCAGCGATAACCAACTATGACTCCTGTAAGGAGAAACTCCTCTAAGAGCATTAAAACATTTCACAAACTCTTTCCAAAGCACATAGTCAGCCCTTCTACAGGGGATGAAGGAAATTCTTCGGCTTTCTTCTAAAAAGGTCTGAAACCTTGCAAACAGCATGGCAGGCTAGAGATGCTCCCTGCAAAAGCCCTGGCATGTCCTTCCCATCAGTAATGGGTCCACCGATATCGCGGGGATTCAGAACGTCCATTGGGCAGCTCCTCTTCCCTGTGTGCTGGAGAAGGGGCAGCGCCAAGCACTGGGAAGGGGCTAGAGGCAGAGGCTCTGATGTCACCGTTCTTTCTAGGCGCACGTCTCCTTCAAGCCCACGGTAGCACAGCAGAGAATATGCCCTAACTGCCGGGAGACTGCGGTAGATGGGGAACTGGTGGTGCTGTATGACGTGAAAAGAGAAGAGAAGGCTGGTGAACTGGAGGTGAGTGCACACCGGCTCTGGTTCTACTGCCAAGCTCGTGCCAAAGAGCTGCTCCTTTTTGAACAAACTCCCAGGCCTATGGGTGGTTTCTAGCTGCCAGGGCAAGTGTTTCTAGCTGCAGAGAAGGGACTAAAATCATATTCTTTGAATATACCGCTAAGCATTATCTTTTATGTATTAAAAACTAAATGAATAGGGTCTCATGCTCTTGTCCCAGGAGGGCATTCCTGGGCCTCATGTGAAGAACAAAGGAATAATTACAGAACAGGAATTTTAAATAGGCTCCCAAGGCCCTTTGCAATTAGACAATCAAAGAAAGCACAGAGATTACGGGGTGAGGAGGAAGGCGCATCCACAGCCTAGAAAGATCAAGAGCCAGCGGTGAATTTCAAGGCCAAGGTTTATCATGAAGTTTCTTGAAAAGTTTCCTTTCCCCTTCAGTCATGTCCCAGACGTGTGTCTTCCTTTCTTTGTACTAAGGTGAGGACTCTTAGAACGTACGCAAACTCCAAGAGTCTCTCTAGGGACAGCAAGCGGAGCACACACCCTGTACCTGGATGCTGTAGTTTCCTGGAAAGAGGCAGCCAAAGGGCAGAGGAAAGAGAATTAGGTGAGCCAGTCATCAAGCCTGCAGCAGAAGACAAAGAGGATGGTCAGGAGTCCAGCTGGGGCAGCCTCTCATTAACTTCAAGAAAAATCCAAATTTTCTAAAGTGGCCCATACACGTCCTTCGTGATCTGTCTTGCTGATTCTCCAACTAGTTCCCTGAATTCTTGGATTCTACGGCCCCATCTTGCTGAACCACATATGGAGCCCCAAATATGCCATGTTTTCTCATCTCTGGGGCTGCGCTGTCTGGAACTCTCTTCCCCATTCCCCACTATCTCAACCTGGCCCAGCTCTCAAGAGAGCTTCTGAGTCTGAGCTCATCCTTAGGTCCCAGTGGAGATGCTGCTTCCTAGAGAACCGTCCCCTGGGTGCGCGTTAGATGCACACGGGGCTCTTGCCGAGCCCTTTACTTCCTAATCATGGTGTTGAACACACCGCGCTGCACATTGCCTCCACTTACCCTTATCCTCTGCTGGCTGGGAGCCTCCTGACGGGAGGTGCTCTGCCTGATTCACCGCTGGTTAGCAGGGCGCCTGGAACAGGGGCTCTCTGTAAAGACTGAGTGATGTGGAGTGGAGTGGAGTGGAGTGAAGTGGCGTGGAGTGGAGTGGCGTGAAGTCGGGTGGAGTGGAGTGGCGTGCAGTGGAGTGGGGTGAAGTGAAGTGGCATGGAGTGGAGTGGAGCAGCGTGGCGTGGAGTGGAGTAGAGTGGAGTGGCGTGGTGTGGTGTGGAGCGGAGTGCCCTGGCATGGCGTGGAGTGGCGTGGCGTGGAGTGGTGTGACGTGGAGTGGAGTGGCATGGTGTGGAGAGGAGTCAAGTGGAGTGGAGCGGTGTGGAGTGAAGCAGCGTGGAGTGGAGTGGAGCGGAATGTTCTGCTAGGAAGGTCTTGACCCTCAGAGGAGAGGAGGTGGGGGAGCAGGCAGGAAAATGTGGAGGCAAATGCACATCAAGCTCCGCCTCCTCCTCCCTGTAGACCCCTCTCTTCTCTGAGTCCCCAGGTCCCCATCTTCCTACCTTCTAAACACGAATCATGATTTGACTCACAAATACCTTCTATTTTTCAGGTGTTTAATGGATATTTTGTCCACTTCTTTGCTCCTGACAACCTGGACCCAATTCCCAAAAACATCCTCTTTGTCATCGATGTGAGTGGCTCCATGTGGGGAGTTAAAATGAAACAAGTAAGTACCCCCTTGTTTGCAGTGGTTGGGGGGATTCCCTATCTTCTTTGATCCCCTCCTAAAAATGCAATCATTCTATCCCTCCTCCCTGCTTAGGGCTGAAGCTCAGGGACTGTGGTTACAGACTGCCGGTGTCAACTCTTCCTAAAATTTTGCTATTATTGCATTTCACAGGACATACACCTCCGTCTTCTAATCATTCCTCTAGTGTAAAATTCCCTTCCTTCTCTTCTTCCTCTTTCCTGTTTCCTCTTCCTTCTCTTTCTCTTTTCCACTCTCTATCCAATATTTCCTTGAAAAACTGTCTCAAAACTCACCTCTTTGAAAAACAGAATCTCTATATAACCTCTTCTTTCAAGGATCAGTCACATTCTTTTTGCTCTTCCACATGTTTTATTATAATATCTTGTCATTGTCCACATATGACTATTGATTCAATATATACATATTATTTCTAATTATATGGTAATTGCTTGAGAGCAGCTATCCATCTTATGTTTTCCAGCTCAGAGCTCAATATAGGCTTACTTAGTGATAAGTGAGATGTACAGATGCAATACTAAAGACCAAACAAGGAAATGATTTAACTTACCCATCAATCCATCCATCCATTCAACCAAGTTGAACAACCAACTAACCAGTCATAGGGCAACTATTTTTGACCACCCAAGAGTTCACTACTACCCTAAGATCTGTAAGGAACCTAAAAGAAGTCCCTGTCAGCCAGGCACAGTGGCTCACGCCTGTAATCCCAGTACTTTGGGAGGCCAAGGCAGGTGGATCACCTGAGGTTGGGAGTTTGAGACCAGCCTGACCAACATGGAGAAACCCTGTCTCTACTAAAAATACAAAATTAGCCAGGCGTGGTGGTGCATGCCTGTAATCCCAGCTACTCGGGAGGCTGAGGCAGGAGAATTGCTTGAACCCAGGAAGCGGGAGTTGCAGCGAGCAGAGATCGCGCCATTGCACTCCAGCCTGGGCAACAAGAGCGAAACTCCATCTCAAAAAAAAAAAAAAAAAGAAGAGGAAGAAGACGAAGACGAAGAAGAGGAAAAAGAAGACCCTGTCTTTCACAGACCCTGCCTGCCTGGGTCTGTACTCCCAGGCAGGGTTTCTCAGCAGTGGGACTATTGATATTTTGGATGGGGTCATTCCTTGTTGTAGGAGGGCTGTCTGGTGCATTGCAGGATACTTAGCAGCATGGTCTATGGTCTATTTGCTAAATTTTGGTAGCACAACCTCCCCTGCATCATAACAATCAAATATAACGTCAGACATTGCCAAATGTCCGCTGGGGGGAATAATTGCCTCTGGTTGAGAAACATTGCTCTAATACAACAGTTTATTCACTGCTTCCTTCCTTCCATCACTCATTCATTTAACAAATATTTACGAAGCACCTACTATGTGTCATACACTTAGTTCATCTATGAGCAAAACAGACCCAAAGCATAAAAACAGAAACCAAACAAAAAACAGAAAAAAAACGGATGCCTACCCTCTGTGTGCTTATGAAACTTACATCTGAGGGATAGGGGACAGAGAATAAACAATACACATGCAAGTACAAATGTACAAGTACGTTCAATGGCAGCATTTTGATAAAAGTTTTTTTAAAAAATAAAAGAAGCATATGTTAAAAACCAAGAGTGGCAATTGCAGGGGTATGCAATTTTAAATAGGCTTGTCATCTAAATAGGTGGTTTCCTGGAGAAGACCTCTGAGGAGACCCTGAGAAGGTGAAGGGAGAGTTGTGCAGATATCTAAGGGAATTAAATGCAATGAACAGCTCATGCAACAGTTCTAAGTCGAAAGTGTGCAAAGAACAGAGAGAGATGCCAGTAGAGAGGGGCAGTGGGAGATGAGATCTGAGAAGTGAGAGGCAAGGTGGCTCATGGAACACCTGTGCAGTCATGATCAGAGCTGGATTCTGGAATCTGTTTTGAAGGTAGAGTAAACAGTATATCCTGAAGGGCTAGCTGTGAGGCAAGGGAAGAAAAGAGAAGTGAAAGATGCCCCAGGACTTAGCCTGAGTGACTAGAAGGATGAAGTGGCCATCCATGAGTTGACAAAGACAGAAATGTAATCAGACATTGCAGGGAATGTCCCAGTTTGGTTTTGGATGCAAAGTCTGAGATTTCTATTAAGTACCCACGTTGGCCATGGAAGCGTGGTGTTCAAAAGTGAGATGTGGAGACACACAGTTAGGACTCCCCAGCATATAGAAGGTACTGTCAGCATTGGGACTAGGTGAGAATGCCGAGGAGTAGATGGACAAGGGAGCCAAGATCAGACAACAGAGCATTCCAATATTGGGAATTTGGGAAGAAGAGGATAATTGGTGATAGAGACTAATAAAAACAATTAGTAAGTGGGGGAGAAAAATCAAGAGAGAATGAGGCCCTGGAAGACAATTGAGGAATTTGTGTTCAGGAGGGAGATGAGAGCACTTGCCGGTGCATGAGAAATGAAGATGGACCTTTGGATTTAGTGACATTAGCATCATTGGTGACCTTGACAAGGGCAGTTTCAGTAGAGTGACAGGGATGAAAACCCGAAAGGATTGGGCTTATGAGAGAATAGGAAGAGAAGATTTGGAGACAGTGTGTTTAGACAATTCCTCAAGGAATTTTATTGCAGAAGAAAGCTGAGAAATGAAGAAAGTGGATGCACATGAGGTTTGTAGAAGGGTGAGAAATAACATGTTTTTGTTGATGGAAATGTACCAATAGAATAGGGAAATTGAAGAGGCAAAGGACAATTGCTGGAGCCATGATCTTTAGTCAAAGAGAGGGAATGAAATAGTTCATGAATAGATGGGTTTGCATTAGGTAGAAATACTGCTAGTTGTTCTTTATTATCAGGTAGGAAAGAAAAATGTATGGGTACAAATATTGATGGTTGGGATTTTATGGTAGTGGGAGTCTGTGGGAATGTTCTTCTGTCTGCTGCAGTTTCTCAGTGGAGTTGGAATCAAAATCATCACACGTAAGCTAGAGAAAGAGGGTGATGGTGGTGGTTTAAAGAGAAAGATGAGGAAATAGTTTAAGAGACTGGGTGAGTAGATGGACTTGAGAAATGTATTTTATTTTCAGGCATCATAAAGGTGGCACTCGAAGTTTGTGATCCTTAACATAAAGACTAGTCAAACTGGTTGTGCATAGCAAAATAGATAGTAAAATTATCAAAAAGCCAACAGTACATGCCCAGAATAAATAAGGGGCAGGTCTGCATTGACTGAGGTGGGCTCAAGAGGTTTTCTGGAAGAAGTTTAGCTTGAGAAGAACTTGAAAGATGACCAGGATCAATGATTGGTCTTCCTAGTTCCTCTGAGGCTCAGATTTTCTGTAATGGGACCTGTCTTTATTCTCTATTGAAATAGACTGTGGAAGCAATGAAGACCATATTGGATGACCTCAGAGCAGAAGACCATTTCTCTGTGATTGATTTCAACCAGAACATTCGAACTTGGAGAAATGATTTAATTTCAGCTACAAAAACACAGGTTGCAGATGCCAAGAGGTATATTGAGAAAATCCAGCCCAGTGGAGGTGAGTGTGTTGGGCTAAATCCCAAGGAGACACTTCCTCTGGGTTCAAATCATGATTCACTTAAGAAGCATTATTCCCATCACAGTGGTCTTTCCCCAGCATTCGAGGGCCTATCTTAAATAATACATTTATTGGTAATGGATGAATGCTAAGTTTGTAGTGAAAGTAGAATTTGTAATACAGCCCACATAAGCTTTGAACCGTTTTAATGTCTCTCAGAAAAAGGTTCAGTGACACTGGCCTTCTTTATTGCCTGCATAAAGCATAAAATGTTACTATCTTCAGAGTATCTTGGCAAGGCTGATTTGGATACTTTAATCTGGTGTTTAACAAGCTAACAGTCTGTGCTTTGAAAGGGCTAGTTCATCTCTAAGGGGATAGTTTATTTCAAAGTGAATATTTCACTGCACTGGGGGACCACCAGCTTGAGCACAGTTTGTGTCACTCAGAAAGCAATGAAATGATTTTGGCATGGAATAAGTGATGGATAAGTGATCAGCCGACATATGAGTCTGAATCCAGAATGGGATTTTCTGCGTGTGGCGAGAACGCATACCCAACGTTTCATTATGCTACTTCAACAGGCACAAACATCAACGAAGCACTCCTACGGGCAATCTTCATTTTGAATGAAGCCAATAACTTGGGACTGTTAGACCCCAACTCCGTCTCGCTGATCATTTTGGTTTCTGATGGAGATCCAACAGTGGGCAAGTGTCACTTCAACCTTCTCACGACAAACACTTTCACTGTTGTTTCTTGGAATGGTGGTTTGCCTAAAAGGGGAACTCTAATGGCATTTGCCTGAGTTTCTAGAACATTTTAAACCCATGCTTCCTAAAGGAGGTCTTCTGATCCTGCAGCCCTCACCCCTTAAGCTACTGCTCAGACACTTTCAGCAAGGGCGCTCTTGAATGCCTCAGTTCCACCTCCACAATATGCAGAAATCTGAGTCTGAATTTTAATAGTATGTTGTGAGGATTGCTGATGCATTCTAGGGAAATGCATCTATTTCCTCAACTTGAGGTATGTGAAGATGGTGTATGGGGGTGGTGAATGATGAGTATTGATCCCAGATCTCCCAGCAGTACCTTTGGAGGCCACAGTAGCATATTCCCTATTATTCTCCACACTTCTCCCGGTTGCACCTGGAGAAATGACTGCTCTCTGACACAACCTTGAAGTTAAACATTTTTCTTTCTACAAAATGGGCAGCAACATCTCCCTACTTCTATTATTTATTTTTATTTTTGTTACATTAGTTTATTTTATTTATTTTTGAAGACAGGGTCTTGCTCTGTCACCCAGGAGGGAGTGCAGTGGAGCACACACAGCTCACTGCAGCCTCAACCTCCCATGCTCAAGTGATCCTCCTACCTCAGCCTCCTGAGTAGCTGGGACTACAGGTGTGCACCACCACACTCAGCTAATTTCTTTTTTTTCTTTCTTTTTTTTTTTGGAGAGACGAAGTCTCACTATGTTGCTCAGGCTGATCTCAAAATCCTGGGCTCAAGCAGTCCTCCCACCTCGGACTCCCAAAATGTTGAGATTACAGGTGTGAGCCACTGTGCCAAGCTATCTTTGTTTTACTTGTGTCTTTATTCTGGCCACTGTAAGTAATAGCGAATGCCAGATTGTGTTGCCTGAGTGTGCTGTCGTACAGACTAGGACCGAGTCTAACACGTCCTGACACAGCCAAGCAGAATGAAAATGCACGAGGCAAAAACAATGGCAGTCAGAGCTTTAGAAAGCCAGAGAGCAACCATCTTATTAATAACGAGACTAGAATGAGCCAGTGTTATGTATTTGTTGTAGAGCCAATGTTTTCTCCCTCAGATCAGATTATTTTCAAAATTCAAGTTTTGAATGAAATCATAAGGTGGAAAAGGAAATATAGTTTAAAATATTAAACTTGCCAGGCATGGTGGCTCACACCTGTAATCCCAGCACTTTGGGAGGCTGAGGTGGGTGGATCACCTGAGGTCAGGAATTCAAGACCAGCCTGGCCAACATGGTGAAACCCCATCTCTACTAAAAATACAAAATTAGCCTGACAGGGCGGCGTGTGCCTGTAATCCCAGCTATTCGGGAGGCTGAGACAGGAGAATCCCTTGAACCCAGGAGGCGGAGGTTGCAGTGAGCTGAGATCGTGCCACTGCACTCCAGCCTGGGCAACAAAGTGAGACTCTGTCTCAAAAAAAAAAACAAAATTAAACCATAATTTGGTTTAATCATGGTTTCTCACTCCTGTTTCTCAACCATTCAGTTCCTGTCCCTGGAATCAGTCACTGGTTACCAGTTTCTTGTGTATCTTTCCACAAATAGTTTATGCATGCCTGTATACTATATATACATGTTTGCACACATGTATGTGTATATGCATACATACACATACATACATTTATACATGCATGCATGCAAATGCATCCTAGGTACCCTGATATTTACCTTGTTTTTTTTTTCTCCTCTAAACATGCCCTTGAGATTGTCTGGTATACATACATAAGGAGTTTCCATGTCCTTTTTAATAGCTGCATAGTATCTCACGGTTTAAATGTATCATCATCTAACCAAGCGCCCTCATTGGTGCATATTTATGTTGTTTCCAATATGTTGCTAATTCCCAAATAATGTTGCTATGCAACACAACCCACACTTCATTTCAACATGTACGAGTGCATCTCTAAGAAAAACTAGAAATTGAGTTACTGGGTCAAAAGGGAAATGCAGTTTTAATCTGGACACACTTTACTAAACTGCCCTCCCTGGATTTTCCAGAAAATTTATGATATTGCTTCTTCATTCCTTTCCTTTCGGACATCACCAACTTTAGGCGAACTAAAACTGTCAAAAATTCAGAAAAACGTTAAGGAGAACATCCAAGACAATATCTCCTTGTTCAGTTTGGGCATGGGATTTGATGTGGACTATGATTTTTTGAAGAGACTGTCCAATGAAAACCATGGAATTGCACAAAGGATTTATGGAAACCAGGACACGTCTTCCCAGCTTAAGGTAACATTTTCTTCTGTTCTTTTTTTATTCTTCACTGGAAATCATTTAACTACCCATATCTGATGCAGGTATGATGCATAACTGAACTTAACTCAAAATGGTCATGATCTCAGCCATATTTGGTTGCAAGGATCAGGGAAGTGCCCAGTTCCTTTCTCACATGTTTCCCCCCACCCTCATATTTCTGCAGTAACAGTGAGGTATGAGGCAGATGGGTGTTGGGAACAGCTGTCCTACCCCCTGAACAAAAAGGCCTTCTGAGCGTCATCAAAGCTCCTTGTAGCTCTCCTGCCCCACCAGCAATTGGTCTTCTTATCATCATGGCCAACCGTTTTCTCTTTAACGTGCATTGGCATCTTGGTATCAATTTTTCACAGTGTAAATTTTCTTAAGTATTAAGATACAGGCTGAGTGTGGTGGCTCATGCCTGTAATCCCAGCTCTTTGGAGGCCAAGGTGGGAGGATCACTCGAGCCCAGAGGTTTAAGGCCAGCTTGGGCAACATAGTGAGATCCATCTGTTCAACAGATAATTTTTTTAATTAAAATACATATATTGAAAAGACACAAACTACTTGTTTGTTTTGATTAAATAGATGAGAAAATGATGTAGGGAAAGAACATGTTTTTCCCTGCTCTTTGTCAGTACCAGGCATCGTATTTAAATTTGGGAACAAGTAAGAGATAAGATTCTGATTTGGGGACTATTAACCCAGCTGACTTTTGTAAAAATTTAATTATTACTATTATTTTTTGAGACAGAGTCTTGCTTTGTCACCCAGGCTGGGTGACAAGTACGTTCAATGGCAGTGCAATGGTGTGGTGCAGTGGTTCAGGAGTGCAGTGCTGCGATCTCGGCTCACTGCAACCTCCGCCTCCTGGGTTCAGGCGATTCTCGCACCTCAGTCTCCTGAGTAGCCAGGATTACAGGCATGTGCCACCAGGCCCGGCTAATTTTTGTATTTTTAGAAGAGACAGGGTTTACCATGTTGGCGAGGCTGGTCTCAAACTCCTGAACTCAGGTGATCCGCCTGCCTTGGCCTCCCAAAGTGCTGGGATTACAGGTCAAGCCACCATGCCCGACCTCCTGCTGACTTTTATCATAAGTTTGTCCAAGAGTTTTTCACGCTGACCGTAACAGAAAGGGAAAAAAATGCCAGGCTCTTAAACCAAAGGTAATGTTCTCAACAAGTCTTTGTCTTCTCTCTGTTTTTAATCTGATAATTACGAGCATTTTCCCTTGTCCCAAACGTCCTGTGTGAATAAATTAAGAGGTATCTGCTGATTCTTTGAAGAATCTCAGAGTAAAATGTTTTAGATCAGCTGGGCGTAATCCCTGTAATCCCAGCACTTTGGGAGGCCCAGGCAGGCAGATCACAAGACAGAAGTTCAAGACCAGCCTGGCCAAGATGGTGAAAACCCGTCTCTACTAAAAATACAAAAATTAGCCGGGCTTGGTGGCGGGTGCCCGTAATCCCAGCTACTTGTGGGGCTGAGGTGGGATAATTGCTTGAACCCAGGAGCCGGAGATTGCAGTGAGACGAGATCCCACCACTGCACTCCAGCCTGGGCAACAGAGTGAGACATCGTCTCAAAATAAATAAATAAATAAAATAAAATGCTTTAGATCTACAAAGCAGTAGGAACATAATTTCTCTCTCTCTCTCTGTGAATTGTAGAAATTCTACAACCAGGTCTCCACTCCATTGCTCCGGAATGTTCAGTTCAACTATCCCCATACATCAGTCACGGACGTCACTCAAAACAATTTCCATAACTACTTTGGAGGCTCAGAGATTGTGGTGGCAGGAAAATTTGACCCTGCTAAATTGGATCAAATAGAGAGCGTTATCACGGCGACTTCGGTACTTCCACTTATCCATTTATTCTATCTACTAACTGACCCCCTAGATACAGTCCCTCTTGAATGTCAGCTCTGCCTGCCTGGAATCATGGGTGTAGAACAGAAGCAATCAGTGATGGAGAAGGCATGAGAATATCTCTGCCATCTTCCCAGCTATTCCATAAATCCTGACCTTTTCACCCAAGCCCAATCCCAAGCACAGGAATGCATTTCCTTCCTCCGTAGGCTTTGCCTTCCATTTCTTTTTTATTCCCATTCATTCGCAGCAGGTACTAAAAATGTGAATCAATGAACTATAATTCTGTTACCCAGTGTCTCTCAACTGAACCTTCCATCATCTAGGCTAACACGCAGTTAGTCTTGGAGACCCTGGCCCAGATGGACGACTTGCAGGATTTTCTATCGAAAGACAAGCATGCAGATCCCGATTTCACCAGGAAACTGTGGGCCTATCTAACCATCAACCAACTGCTAGCTGAACGGTAAGAAGAGAAGAGTACCCACACCACGAGATCTGCAAAACTGAAATGTCCACCGTGAATATATGAAGTCATACACAAAAAGAGTTTGGAAGCAAGAAAGACAGCACATTAGCACAGGCTTGGATTATTACCTTCCACTAGTTCTGAACACTTCAGAGAAAGCTGGGTTCACTCTTTTTCTTCTTTATTGAGGTATAACATACAGTAAAGTATGCAAAATGCATTAATTTTTTAATTTTTATTTTATTTATTTATTTTTATTTTTTTTGAGGCAGAGTCTCGCTCTGTCTCCCAGGCTGGAGTGCAGTGACGCCATCTCAGCTCACTGCAAGCTCCGCCTCCCGGGTTCACACCATTCTCCTGCCTCAGCCTCCTGAGTAGCTGGGATTACTGGTGCCCACCACCACGCCCAGCTAATTTTTTTGTATTTTAGTAGAGACGGGGTTTCACCATGTTAGCCAGGATGGTCTCGGTCTCCTGACCTCGTGATCCACCCGAGTGGGCCTCCCAAAGTACTGGGATTACAGGCATGAGCCACCGCACCCGGCCAAAATGCATTAATTTTAAGTGCACCATTCAATGGATTTTTATATCTATCATCCGTGTAATCACCACCCAGATCCAGATGTAGGTTCCCTTGTTCTCCCTCAACACCCACCCCCCTCCTCCACTGTAACCACTCTTTCAATGTCTGTGATCATCAGTTTTGCCTGATCCTAAATTTCACATAATCATGCAATCTGTATTCCTCTGTTCCTGGCTTCTTTCACTCAATATGATGTTGGTGAGATTCATCCATGTTGCTTCATGTATCAGGCATGTATTTGCATTTACTGTCTCGATCTCCTGACCTCATGACCCGCCTGCCTCGGCTTCCTAATGTGCTGGGATTACAGGCATGAGCCACTGCACCCAGCCCTGCATTTACTCTTGAAAATGGCTTCTTGTCCAAAGAGAAATTGATGATTATTAACGATTATGGTGTTCCCTAAGGAAGGGCTCCCCTATGCTCATCTATGTCCCCTCTGGTTGCTTCATGTATCAGTAATTTATTTGCATTTACTCTTGAAAACGGCTTCTTGTCCAAAGAGAATTTAATGATTATGTGATTATGATGTTCCCTAAGGAAGGGCTCCCCCATGCTCATCCATGGCCCCTCTGACTTCTCAGCTGAGCTGCATCTCAACTCTCCAACATGAAAACTATATCCCCAGAGCAATGGATGGTTGACCACCTGCATCAAAATTACACAGAGGTGTTTGATAAAAGTTCCCATTCCCAAGCCTCATTCTGTCTATAAGACAGGATTCTCAGGAAGGTGGAACAGGGTCTAAATGAGGCTGGGAAAATGAAATGCAGTTGTATGACTGAACTCATAGAGAAAATCCCTGATGTCAATAAGGTTAGAAGAAATACGCAAGGCTGTAAACTATGACTGTGAAGTAAACGAGAAATAGCTCCCTCTCTGACAGAAGCACACTAGATGTATTTACAGGTATATAGCAAATTGTTGCAGAAGTTAAATATTGATTTTAAAACAATTCCTATAAAAAGATCAGCAGTTGCTAAAGGTTGGGGAGTGGGAGATACGTGAGTAGGTGGAGCACAGAGCATTTTTATGGCAGTGAAAATACCCTATATGATACTCCAATGGTGGACACCTGTCATTATGCATTTAACCAAACCCATAGAATGTACAACACCAAGGGTCAGCCACGTTAACTGTGGACTCTGCGTGATAATGATGTGTCAGCTTCTTCCATTGTAACAAATGCACCACTCTGATGTGGGATGGATGTTGATAGTGGGGAAGGCCGTGTATATGGGGGACCGTGTGTATGCAGTGGAGACATAGAAAATCTTGATACCTTCTGCATAATTTTACTGTGAACCTAAAACTGCTCTAAAGTATAAAGTTTTAAAAAAATGCCTTGGGAGCCAGATGCATGGCTCATGCCTGTAATCCCAGCACTTTGGGAGGCCAAGGCGTGTGGATCGCTTGAGTCCAAGAGTTTGAGACCAGCCTGGGCAACATGGCAAAAGCCCATCTCTACAAAAAATACAAGAATTAGTAGGGTGTGGTGGCATGTGCCTGTAGTCTCAGCTACTCAGGAGGCTGAGGGAGGAGGATCTCTTGAGCCCAGGAGGTTGAGGCTGCAGAGAACCGTGATTGTGCCACTGCACTCCAGCCTGGGCAACAGGGCGAGACCTTGTCTCAAAAATAATAATGATAATAAATAAGTAAATAAATAATGCCTTGGGACTTAGCCAGATAAAATACTCAGCTTCTCGAAGCCAGTGAGTTCTGTTTCCCAGTTACTTTGCGGCTCCGCCCCACCCCCAGGTTGGACCCCAGCAGTGGTGGGGTGCAGGGTCAGGGAGCTGACTTGCGCTCCCCCTCCAATGCAGCCATGCTCCATAACACCTCTACTTCTTGAATACAGAAGCCTGGCTCCTACAGCTGCCGCCAAGAGAAGAATTACAAGATCGATCCTGCAGATGTCTCTAGACCACCACATTGTGACTCCGCTGACCTCGCTGGTGATCGAGAACGAGGCTGGGGATGAGCGCATGCTGGCGGATGCCCCACCGCAGGATCCCTCCTGCTGCTCAGGTCAGGGCTGCACCTGTGGGGACAAGTGGCCAGGCAGCTCTCTTGCCCCGGGGGTGGGCGAAGTCCTAGTGCCTCCGCTCTCTCCCACCCCAGCCCACCTCTTGCTCCCAGCCCTGGGCCCTCCTGTGCCCAAGCTCTTCCTGCCAGCTGGGAGGAGGATGGATTATTGCTGTGGTCGTTGACCATTTTGCTCACAAGTTTCCCAAAGGAACTTTTGAAAACCTGCGTACCCCTTCCAACATTTTTGACATCAATATTTGAAATTTTTTATCTTAGCCTGGGCAACATAGCGAGACCCCATCTCTAAAGAAAAGTTTTTTTTCATTAGCTGGGTGTGATGGTGGGCACCTGTAATCTCACCTGTTTGGAAAGCTGAGGCAGGAGGATCTCTCGAGCCCAGGAGGACCACTGCACTCCCGCCTCCTGGGGGTGCCATCACATCTCACTGCAACCTCCAATTCCTGGACAACAAATACAATTTCTATATGCAACTAACATAATCATAGTATTTTATAAATATTGACCTTTTAAAATAAAACTGTCACATCACTGTTTTCTTTTTCTTTTCTTTTCTTTTCTTTTCTTTTTTTTTTTTTTTTGAGACAGAGTCTTGCTCTGTTTACCAGGCTGGAGCACAATGGCACGATCTCAGCTCCCTGCAACCTCAGCCTCCCAGGTTCAAGCAATTCTCCTGCTTCAGCCTCCCAAGTAGCTGGGATTACAGGCATGTGCCACCACGCCCAGCTAATTTTTTGTATTTTAGTAGAGACGGGGTTTTACCATGTTGGCCAGGCTGGTCTCGAACTCCTGACCTCAGGCGATCCACTTGCCTTGGCCTCCCAAAGTGCTGGGGTTACAGGCGTGAGCCACCGTGCCTGACCATATCACTGTTTTCAATACATCTAATAAAACAGAATACTTAATTGGTTACTCACTATCACTCATTTTTAAAAAATACATAAGCAAATCCTATATTACAATTACTAGAACCTGGCCAGTCATGGTGGCTCATGCCTATAATCCCAGCACTTTGGGAGGCTGGAGTGGGTTAATTGCTTGAGCCTATGAACATGAGACGAGCCTGGTCAACATAGCAAAACCCCATCTTTAGAAAAAAATACTAAAATTAGCCAGCCATGGTGGCACATGCCCATAGTCCCAAATACTCAGGAGGCTGAGGCGGGAGGATTGCTTGAGCCTGGAAGGTGAAGGTTGCAGTGAGCCAATCACACCACTGCACTCCAGCCTGAGTAACAGAATAAGACCTTGTCTCGAAAAAAAATTATTGGAAGTTTTATATTATTCTTTTTTCTAGTTGAACTTGTATTTCCACTCCACTTGCCCAGCAGAACTATATCCTATTGTAATATATTTTTATGCTTATTTTAGTAATCACCTCACTTATCTATAAGAAAAAAAGTTTATACATTTTAATTTTAATTAAGAATTTAATTTAAAAATCATAACCATAAGATTCTGAGTATTCAAAATTCCCTTCTGAACCTGGTCTGATTAATATTACTACTAGTAGCCAAGTGAGCAAAATAATATAAATAGATTATAAATTTGTTTACAAATAAGAAGTAAAACTGGAGTGGAAATAATCTATAATCTCTTACTGGGAAAAATGTGACTGTTTTTCATGTATTCATGGGTAAGTATTATTTACGAATGGATTGAAAGAGACAGGATTCGGCATCAATTCTACTTTTAAGAGAACTTGTATGGGCAGAAGTCCTGATAAATATTGGTTGGTATAGACAAGTGGATAGAAATGGCAAGTGTCTGGTTATATTCAGTTACTCGCTTATCTGAACTCTTTCATATTATATGCCAAAACATGCATACAGACCTAGCGTCCAAAAAATTTTGTATAATTTATCAGCTGACAATGTGAGCCCTTCTTCAATTTTGTTGAAAGCAAAGAATTGGAAGCCCTGTGGTTTGTACAAGCACTTGCTCCCAATCATTGGAATCAGGTTTCTTGCCCTACACCAGTATTCCAATGGATGTTTTGCTTCCTGGAGGACTCTGGGGGAGGGGAGTAGACAAGAACTGGCCTTCTGCTTGTAAACTAGGAGAAAAGGCTTTCTTTAGGAACGAGTCTGTGTCTAAACTGAGACTCTAGAAATTGCCTTTCAAACAGTCCATGCTCTCTGAGTCCTGCAGAAAGTATCCAGG